>NW_014040931.1:0-174749 GCF_000001405.40 Homo sapiens
TAATAAAACGCATTTCAAAAGACCCTATGAGGTCTGTGCCGCGTTGGTCCCTATGCCATAGAAGCGACTCAAAGTAGGTCTAGAGGGTCGGTAGAGGCCGGAGTGAGAGTAGAAATCTGCACTGGATTACACTGGTTATACTGAAAATCGAGGGGAGGGGTGCTTCCTTTAGTAAAGTGAATGTATGATTTTAAGTATATACAGCCACATGTTGATGAGGTCCAGCCTTGATACTCAGTTGTCCACAGAACATCATTCCAGCTATGGCAGACCTGTTTCCCTATATTTTATGAGGAGCAAGAGTCTTGGTAGCGGGAGCCTTTTATTTTAAAGTGGCAGAGATACTTTTCTAAGGCTGAGAGTTGCCTTTGACTTTGGAGATCTCTACAGGGTATGACTAAACAGGCATCAAACATAATAACTTGGGGTGAGTTTGATTTAGTCACATTGATAACAAGGTGGTCAGCAACAGAATGAGGAAAGAAGAAAGAGTAATAGAGTAGACGAAAGAGAGTTAAACTTTTCTTAGCTTTAGTTTGAGGGGGTTTTCCCCTGGGATAATGGCCCATGACTCTGGAGGTGACAGTGCTTTCTTGACTCAGGTGTGATGGGTCTATCCTTTTTCTGCTGTCCGGACTGCAGTTTCAGTGGTTAGAAGCACCAGGTAAGGTCCTTCCCAGGCTGGCTCAAGTTTCTCCTCTTTTCAGCTCTTGATAAGGACGTGATCCCCAGGCTGATGTTGATGTACTGGGAACTCCAGAGGCAGAGCCTGTGCTAGGAGACCTTTGGTTTTAAGAAAAGAGAAAGTAGGGGAGAGACTAAGAATATAATTCCTGAGGAACTGGTGTTTTTGGAACATCAGCAGTGGAGTGTAAATAAGGCAATCCATAGAGCATCTTGTAAGGGGAAAGGCCAGTATCTTTTCGAGGAGCAGTTTGGATTCTTTTTTTTTTATTTGGTTTTGTCAAATGTTTTATTGAGTGTAGACATCTGGAGTACTATAAAACATGCATTATCTGTAGATTCAAAAAGGAGCAAGCCACATTGTTCTCACTGTCAAATGTGTTAGGCTTGGCATACATGATGGAGATTAATGAAGTATCATGAGAGTAACATGGTTCTTGAAAAGCTTCTATAATTTGGAGTAGGGTCTTAATCACATGAAAAGCAAAGGTGTTCACATTTAGTGAACTTGCATTTCATTGGGGGGAGAGGGTACACAGTATTTTAATTTTAAAACAAAAATAATTTGTTTGTCAAAGATTCCCATCTCCCCAACTTTATTTGTCCCATTGGTTTTCAGAAATTTTAATTTTTAAAAAATCAGATGCCTTTTGGAAGTTGTATGTTTATCTGAGCAGTAACTAAATTTTATTTCTTCTTCAGTTGTTAAGGTGTGTTAAATTTGAAGAAGATAATATCTCCATCTTCAACAATATAATTTCTGCCTTGTTGTCTGTACTTTCCAGCAGCCTTGACTGCATTTTCAGAACCTTCCTCTTTAAAATCTTCATATTTCATTACTTCAGCCATAATGAATCCCTTTTCAAAATCTGTGTGAATCTTTCCTGCAGCCTGAGGAGCCTTAGTCCCTTTCCTGATGGTCCGTGCACGCACTTCATCTGGGCCTGCAGTGAAAAAGTATTTTAGTTGGAGTGCTGCAAACCCAGCCTTAATGATCTTTGGCAAAGCACTTTGTGTCATGTTCGCTTCCAGATACTGCTGTCTCTCCTCAGCACTCAATTCTTGCAACTTGAGTTCCAAGGCCCCACTAAAAGGAATGACCAAGGCACCTGGGTCATACTTGTCCACCCACTCTTTAATTTTTATCAGCCATTTGTTTTTCTTTCTAATGTAGTCTTTTTCAGAAAGATTAACCAAGTAGACCATTGGTTTTGAAGTCAAAAATAAGTGTTTATTCAACACTTCAATCTCTTTGTCATTCCAATCATGATAGAAGCGAACAGGTTCTTTTGATCTATAACCCAGGATTTTACTTTGCACATTATATCATATTTGGGTTTTAGTTTTTTATCTCCTCCTCTCACAGCCACCTTTTCTAGTTTATCTATAATGGGCCCAGTCATTCCTCATCTTTAAGCTGAAGCTCTTCATGTATTATTTCTATATCTCGAATAGGATCTACACTTTCTTCAACATGTGTGATATCATCATCTTCAAAAGCACGTGTTAGATGAAAGATGCCATCACAAGCACTAAAATGAGATAAAAAAGCATTCCCCAGGCCCTGCCCATTGTGAGCTCCTTTCACAAGGCCAGCAATATCCACTACATTTAGAAAGGCAGGAATTTTGCTTGCTGGTTTGTGATATTGGCAAAGAAAGTCAAACCTTTCATCTGGCACAGGTACTCTGCTCTCATTAGGATCAATAGTGCAGAATGGGAAGTTTTCTGCTGAAGCCTGACTATTGGTTAATACATTGAAGAAAGTAGATTTCCCAACATTTGGCAATCCAACAATACCAATTTTCAGTGAGGTTCCAAATCTTCCAATGATTGGGGGTGGTTTAATTCCATCACCTCCCTTTTGAGGGGGCATCGTGCTCAGCCTGGGCTATGACACGGGGTCCCAGTAGCAGCGAGAGAAAGGTCCTGCCGGCAGCCAGAGGCGGGGAGGAAGGAGGAGAGAACGCAGGCCCGGCCCCTCCGCCGAGCGGCATGCCGCACTACGGCGGCGACAGCGGTGGAACCGCCGTTTGGATTCTTAACAGGGCAATAGGAAGATATTTGATCCCTGGCAACCGAATCTATAGAACTAACTTGGTTAAATGGTTCTTTAAGGTCTGATTCATCCTTTCTACTCTCCCTGATGAAGGTGGGTGCCAAGGAGTATGATATTTCCATCTAATGTCTAGCGCTTAGGATAGCTTTTTAATGATATGTGCTATGAAATAGGTTTCACTGTCTGAGTCAATATTTTCTATTAGCCCAAACCTGGGCACTATATTTTCAATTAATGCTTTAACTACATGATTGGCCATTGCATTTGAAAAGGGAATAGCTTCGACCCAGTGAGTGAGGTGATCTGCTATTACTAAGTACTTTAGGCAACCGATTGGGGGCATTTCAATGTAATCAGTTTGAACACTTTGGAATGGTCTTAGCCCTGAATCCCTCCCCGCCCAGGGATGATTTCTTTATAACTTGTTTGTTGGTTTCCTTACATGTTAAGCAACTATCCATAACCTGTTTGGCTAGGGTATATACCCATAAACCCTGAGAACTGTGTCACACATGGCTTGGGGTCCCCAGTGTGTCCCTTGATGCAGGTGGGTAGGATTTCTCTCATGAGCGGTTTGAATAGCATTTCTCTTTGATCTGGTAACACCCATTTTCCTTCTGAGTTTTCTTTGGCTCCATTTTTATTAATTTTTCCTTTTCTGCAGCAGACAAGGTAGGGGTTGCAGCAGGGGGAGGAAGACAAGGGGTTAAGTGAAAGTTGTTTCAGATGAAATGGCAGCCTGTTTAGCCACTTGATCTGCAAGGTTATTTCCCTGACTTGTAAAGGAAAAGTCGTTTTGGTGTCCGGGGACATGTACAATGGCTATTTCTTCTGGCAACTGGAGATTGTTTAAAACATGGACGATTAGCTCCTCGTGGGTAAGATATTTTGGCCTTTAGTTTTTTTTTGTTTTTTGGTGTTTTTTTGAGACGGAGTCTTGCTCTGTCACCCAGGCTGGAGTGCAGTGGCACGATCTCAGCTCATTGCAAGTTCCACCTCCCGGGTTCACGCCATTCTCCTGCCTCAGCCTCCTGAGTAGCTGGGACTACAGGATCCCGCTACCACACCTGGCTAATTTTTTTGTATTTTTAGTAGAGACGGGGTTTCACCATGTTAGCCAGGATGGTCTTGATCTCCTGACCTCGTGATCCGCCCACCTCAGCCTCCCAAAGTGCTGGGATTACAGGCATGAGCCACCGCGCCTGGCCTGGCCTTTAGTATTAATAAGACCTTGCTCAGCCCAAATTTTTCCAAATATATGAGCTACTCCAAAAATGTATTTAGAATCAGTATGAATAGTTCCTTCCTTGCTCTGTAAGTGTTTTAAAACCTGGCTGAGTGCAAATAGTTCACATGCTTTGGCAGACCAACTATTGGGCAACCTTCCTGACTCTGTTTCTTCAAGAGTTTCTCCATCAATTACTGAATACCCATTGTATTTTTCTCCTTTAATTGCTTGGGATCAACCATCTATAAATAAGTGTCACCCCATTTTGAAAGGGGTCTCTCTTAGATCCGGCCTGACCTTTGTTTGGTAGTCAGTTAGATCTAGACATAAGTGTTCTCTTTTTAGATTTGGGTCCCCTGTTAAGAAACCTCTCGGATTGAGTGAGTTATCAGTAGTCAAGGTTAAATCATCTTTTTAGTAAAATAGCCTCCTATTTTAAGATTCTGGAGTCAGTGAGCCACCTTCCTGCTTTTTTATTTAAAATAGCTCTAACTTGGTGGGGTGTGCTTACAGTCAATTTCCCCCCAAAGATTAATTTTCTACTTTCTTCAACTAATACTGCTGTAGCTGCAACGAATTGGATGCACTGAGGCTACCCACAGGTGACTGGGTCTAAAATTTTTGATAGGAAGGCTACGGGCTGCCGGTGACCACCATGTTCTTGAGTAAGAACCCCTAAAGCTACCCCGTTATTTACATTAACAAAAAGATGAAATGGCTTTTCTAGGGAAGCTAAGGCTAAGACAGGGGCAGTTATGAGTTTGTATTTCAGCTCTTCAACCTGATTGACTTCCTCAGAAGTCCACAGGAGACGGTCCAGTTTCCACTGGGTAAGCTTTTCATATAAAAGTTTACTTTTTAGGGCATATGAGTCAATCCATAAGCATCAATATCCAACTAATCCTAGAAATTTTCTGAGTTATTGCTTAGTTTGAGGCAAGGGTAAGGACACGATGCCTTCAACTCGTTCAGGTCCTATCCTTTGCTTACCTGCACTTATTAAGTGGCCTAAATATTTAACTTCAGGCTCCACATACTGAAGCTTTCCCTTTAAGAACCATAACCCCTCGAACTCCAGATGGTTAAGGATATGTGTAGAGAAGCCAGCTACTTTCTCTACATCTTCAACAGATACGAGAATATCATCCATGTACTGGAGCAGGCATATTTGCTTTGGGATGACAACTTTTTCTAACACTTGTTCTAAAATTTGACCAAAAAGGTTTGGAGAGTCTGTAAACCCTTGAGGTAAAACTGTCCATCAATAATGTTGTTTTCGCCCTGAATGGGGATCCTACCACTCAAAAGCAAATATGTCTCAGCTGTCTTCAGCCAAGGGGCATGCCCAGAAGGCATCTTTTAAATCTATTACTGTAAACAACTGATGGTTTTTTGGAATTTTGCTGAGAATGGTGTATGGGTTGGGGACAACAGGATGGTTAGTTTGGACTATTTGATGGCTCTAAGATCTTGTACCAAGTCGGTATGACGCATCTAATTTCTTGACTGGCAATATTGGAGTGTTATACGGGGACATACAGGGTTCAAGGAGCCCATCTTTAATAAGACTTTCAATTATAGGCTTTAATCCTATCCTGCCCTCTAGGGGTTTGGGGTATTGTTTCCTCCTTACTACTTCCCTGGGGATTCTTAACTTGATGTGGATTGGAGGGATTCAGAGTTTCTCCCGGTTTCCTTCCCTTGACCAGACACTAGGATTAATGCATTTTTCATCTGTGGTGGTGAGTAGGTTTAATGAGGTAAAGAATCCTTTAGGACCAACTTGTAAGCCTGTGCCTAATTCTAGCATTAAGTCTCTTCCTAATAGATTAGTTTCTGCCTCAGGGATCAACAAAAATTGGATATGAGTCAGCCGATCTTGGTATTTAACTTCTGTACTTTCTAAGATTTTTGCTTTAAATCCTTCTCCTTTTACCCCAGAGACTAAAAGTTCTTCTGAAGAGCAGGCAATGTTGGATGGGGGGAAGCAAATGGAGGAGCGAGCCACTCCTGAATTGACTAAAAGGTGATAAGCTCATGTTTGGTTCCCACCTGTAAATTTATCAAGGGCTCCTGGTGGGACTCGAGATAAACAGAGCCCCTGACCCCCCTGTTCTTCCTCAAAAGTCATGAGTTGAAGGGCTTCTTTCTCCTTTTCCAGTTTGGGACATTCTCTTTTGAAGTGGCCTGCCCTTCAAACGGTCTGGACGGACCGTTTATAGTTTCTGGCCCCCTGGAAGCTTTGTTTAGAAGCATAAACGAGGGTCTGGACCTTTTATAGTTTCTGGCCCCCTGGAAGCTTTGTTTAGAAGCATAAACGAGGGTCTGGACCTTTTATAGTTTCTGGCCCCCTGGAAGCTTTGTTTAGAAGCATAAACGAGGGTCTGGACCTTTTATAGTTTCTGGCCCCCTGGAAGCTTTGTTTAGAAGCATAAATGAGGGTCTGGACCTTTTATAGT
Source organism: Homo sapiens (assembly GCF_000001405.40). Taxonomy (NCBI): domain Eukaryota; kingdom Metazoa; phylum Chordata; class Mammalia; order Primates; family Hominidae; genus Homo; species Homo sapiens. The sequence continues at coordinate 6,431 of NW_014040931.1, forward strand.
TTCTGGCCCCCTGGAAGCTTTGTTTAGAAGCATAAACGAGGGTCTGGACCTTTTATAGTTTCTGGCCCCCTGGAAGCTTTGTTTAGAAGCATAAATGAGGGTCTGGACCTTCTATCGTTTCTGGCCCCCTGGAAGCTTTGTTTAGAAGCATGTGGGTGTGGGGCCACCTGCTGGAAAGTGGATAACGTGAGTTTTTGCCTTTTGTTTTTGCTTCTTTCCTCACATATATTTTTTGAGCTTCTCCCAGAAGTTCACTTAGAGGTTGGTTTTCCCAGTCTTCTAATTTTTGTAACTTTTTTGAAATATCTGGCCAACTTGTAGTGACAAAATGGAGCTTTAACACTCCCTGTCCAAGGAGATCTTCCAAATTTAGGCCTGCATATTGTCTTGTTTGGTCCTTTATTCTTGTCTAGAAATTTCATAGGCCCCCTCATCTTTTTCCTATTGTATATCAAATGCTTTAGAGAGGTTTTGGGTTCAGGGTACTGATTCCCTAATTCCCTTTATTATCATTTCCCTTAGGTCTTGCATATTTTCCCAGTGAGCTGCATTAATATCGTCCCACCGGGGGTCTTGGGTGGGAAACTTTTGATCTGCGGTAGGAATGTTTGACCAGGAGGGTGTTCGTGTTCCCAAATTGCCATAGCAGCCCTACAGATCATGCTTCTTTCCTCCCCTGAAAAGAGGACGCAGGCCGGGCGCGGTGGCTCACGCCTGTAATCCCAGCACTTTGGGAGGCCGAGGCGGGTGGATCATGAGGTCAGGAGATCGAGACCATCCTGGCTAACAAGGTGAAACCCCGTCTCTACTAAAAATACAAAAAAAATTAGCCGGGCGCGGTGGCGGGCGCCTGTAGTCCCAGCTACTCGGGAGGCTGAGGCAGGAGAATGGCGTGAACCCGGGAAGCGGAGCTTGCAGTGAGCCGAGATTGCGCCACTGCAGTCCGCAGTCCCGCCTGGGCGACAGAGCGAGACTCCGTCTCAAAAAAAAAAAAAAAAAAAAAAGAAAAGAGGACGCCTAGGATGGACATTAACTCCACCCAAGTGTATAACTGAGGTCCTAAGAATTGATCAACCTGATCTGTTACCCAATAAGGTCATCCAATAACGGCTTAAGTTCCTTCTTCAAACTTCAGACCTCTGAACTGGTTAAGGGAGCATTCACAAAATTAATAGCCCCCCTGTCCTTGTGGCACCTCTTTTAAGGGGAAGAGAGTTGGGGCTGACTCCATAGATGTGGAGGGAAATGGGAAATTTTGGATATCTTTTTTACATTGTTCTACCTCACGTTGGAGTCCTTTTAGGGAGGGGTACTTAGGCTGAGAAGGAACAGGCTAATGGGATGGTGATTCCCAAGAATCAGGATTGTAAGGAGGAGGAATAACATGAGCAGGAGAAGGATCTGGAGCAGGAACGGGGACAGCAGCTGCTACCTGAGGGGAAGGGTTAGGGGCACTGAGCGTGGGGGAAGATGGTTTAGAGGATCCCATGTGCTGGAGTCTTTAGGCATGGGGACTGGCTTTTCTCACTCTTCAGTTTGAGGTGCTAGATTGGGTTTTTCCCTAGTTGTCTTTAAGGGAAAGAGGAGGACAGGTCCCTGCCTCCAACAAAGAGCATAGGCCAATTCTTCTTGAGAAACTGGACTTTTATCATTTACATATTGAATTAGAAGTTGACACATCACATCCTTGTTCAACCCAAACTTTGACCAAAAGATTGAGGGTTTGAGGATGGGTCCCTGAGTCCAAATAAAACAGCAATTGTTTGTCATTTGTTGCTTTTTCTTATGTTTAGTTCTCTCATTATCTTTCCAATATTTTAACATGAGACCTAGGGGACTAACAGCAGGAATATCTTTATTGCTGTCTTTATCCTTTTTACTCCGTGTCCTGCTTGGGGTGTTTCCCATGTTGGGTCCTAGTTAGGCTCAGTCCCTCATATTAGAGATTTCTTGCCTATCCTTTTCTGGAGGCTTGCTGAGGCTCAATCCCTCGTATTAGAGATTTCTTGCCTCTCCTTTTCTGGAGGCTTATTGAGGCTCAATTCCTCATACTAGAGATTTCTATCCTTTAGCCCCACCTGCTGGAGGCTCCTTGCACCCTTCTTTTGCTTCGTCCACTCTGGTCGCTTCCCGGAGGGGAATTTAGGTCCCTCTTACCTTTGGCACGCCCATATAAACCCCATGGCAGGATCTGTCCTAAGCCATATGAGGTGACCATGGAACCTCAGATAGGACACACTCATTCCGCACAGCAGTAGTGCTTAGTACCATTCACACAAGCAGCACCGCAAGCAGTAATGCTTGTGATCATTCATACACACTTTCAATCTCCAGAATATCTTGACCACCAAGGAAATGCTTTGTCACCCCTGTGACGTTTCTTACCTTGGTCTGTGCACAAAGTTACCTGGTCACCATGGTGTTGCAAGCCTTTTTTTCCCCACATTGCTGAGAGTCCGGATTTATTCGTCACACCGGGTGGGTTCCGATCCCTCACCCTGAGGCCACCGCAACGAGGCAGTGGGATGCGTCTCCTTATGAGAGGTGACCAGAGACCCCTTCCCTGGAGGAGAATGGGAATCCTGGATGAGCCCCAGATTTGTTGGAGATAAATGCTCAGTGCTGCAAAGTGAAACCAGCACTGAGGCGAAAGTTTTCTCAGCAAGGCAGTTTACTTCTGCAGAAGGGTGCTGCTTGTGTCAATCACGATTGCAAGAGCACACTGAACAAAGGAAAGCAGGGGTTTTTATTCCTAATGCAATCCCTCCCTCTGTGTCACTCCTTCATGGGCTGTGGTTGGACTGCACAATCTAAACTGACCCGACTGGCTATTTGTGAATACTTTCCCAAATAAGGAAGGGAAGGGAAATGTGAGTTACAGTGGTGGGACGTGCGGTTTCTAAGGGAGGAAGGGGTGAAGAGTGGGTAACCAAGGGAACAGATGTGAGTTATTGATTAGAACTGACAGGAAGGTTGTTTACAGTTACAGTAACTACGGACAAGGAGGCATAGAGAACAAGAAAGTTGAGTTTGAGAACAAAGAACAAGGAAGTTAACAGGCTAAACCTTTGAAGAGGAATTTTATTGTATCCTACATACTTGTTCTAGTCTGTTGTTGACACTTTCCAGTGCATTTTTTATTTCTTTAAGTGTGTCTTCCATTTGCAGAAATTGTGATTTTTTTTTCTTTATAATATCTGTTTCTCTGGAGAATTTTTCATCCATAGCCTGTATTTTTTTTGTTGTCTTTTTCTTTCTTTCTTTCTTTCCTTTTTGAGACTCTGAGCACTCTGTTGCTCACAGTGCAGTGGTGCAATCTCAGCTCACTGCAACCTCTGGCTCCTGGGTTCACGCAATCCCCCTGCCTCAGTCTCCCAAATAGCTGGTATTACAGGCACGCACCACCATGCCTGGCTGATTTTTGTATTTTTAGTAGAGATGGGGTTTCACTGTGTTGGCCAGGCTGGTCTGAAACTCCTGACCTCAAGTGATCAGCCCGCCTCAGCCTTCCAAAGTGCTGGGTTTACAGGTGTGAGCCACTGCGCCTGGCCAATCCATAGCCTGTATTGTTTTTTACATTTCTTTGTTTTCACTTTTCTCTGGTCTCTCCTTGAGTAGTTTAATAATCAACCATCTGAATTGTTTATCTGGCAATTCAGAGATTTCTTCTTGATTTGCATTCATTGCTGGGGAGCCAGTATGGTCTTTTGGAGGTGTTATAGAACCTTGTTTTGTCATATTACAATTTTTCTGATTTCTTCTCACTTGGGTAGACTATTTCAGGGGAAAAATCTGGAACTCAGGGGCTACTGTTCAGATTCTTTTGTCCCACAAAGTGACCCCTTGATGTGATGCATTCTCACTTCCCCTAGGGATGGAGCTTCGTGAGAGCCAGACTGTAGTGATTGCTATTGCTCTTCTGGGTCCAGCCACCCAGTGGGGCTACCAGGTTCCAGGCTGGTGCTGAGGAATGTCTGCAAAGAGTCCTGTGATGTGATCCGTCTTTAGCTCTCCTGGCCATGGACACCAGCACCTGCCCTGGTGGAGGTGGGAGGGGAGTAAAGTAGACTGTGAGTGTGAGAGTCCTTGCTTGTAGTTTTGTTTACTGTGCTGGCTTTCTCAAATGCTGGTTATGCTAGCAGTGAAGTTGTCACGTGGACAGACTCAGGAGCTCTGGTTAGCCAGGATGTTGAAAGCAGTGGAATTAGCTGTTTCTCATTTCTTGGAGCAGGGTTATTCTGTTGTGAGTTGCTGTAATGTCCTGACTTGGTTGGCCTCCAGCCAGGAGGTGGCGCTTTCAAGAGAACACCAGCTGCAATACTGGAAGGGGGATATAAGCTTGCCCTAAGTTGGCCAGGATAAGTATTAGGATTTCTCAGGTGATGGACAGGGCCATAAAGCTCCCAAGAGTTTATGGCTTTTGTGATCAGCTACCAGGGCGGGTAGAGAAATACTGTCAGGTTGGGGCAGGGTTAGGTGAGTCTGAGCTCAGACTCTTTCTGGGAATCTGTTACTGATTTGTAATTTTTAATTCCACAGTGTTTGAAGGACATACTTGAAATAAATTTAAAATCCATTGAGATTTGTTTCGTGGTCCAGAATATGGCCTATCTTGGTGAATGTTTCATGTGTATGTGAAACTGAGGCATCCATCCCTCAGTTTCAACCACCCATAGATTTGTAATTATTGTTACATTTACAGAAATTTGCAGGAAGGTAGAAGTTATTGTCTTGAACCATAAAATGTCTGTTTGAAGTCTTTGAGCTCCTCAAGGGTAGGCTGTATGTCCTGTTTACCTTTGATCCTCTCAGCATAATGCTTGGACCAAAATGGAAGCTCAGCAGACACTGGTTGAATGAATGAATAGATGACATTCAATTGTTAGGCTGTGTTCTTGTTTTGGATTTAGAAAATATGCTTATTGTGTTATGCAGTAAGACTGAGTCTTGGCTGGGTGCAGTGGCTTACGCCTGTAATCTCAATACTTTGGGAGGCCGAGGCGGGTGGATCACTTGACGCCAGGAGTTTGAGACCAGCCTGGCCAACATGACAAGACCCTGTCTTTACTAAAAATACAAAAAAATTAGCTGGGCATGGTGATGCACACCTGTAATCCCAGCCACTCGGTAGCCTGAGGCATGAGAATCTCTTGAACCTGAGAGGTGGAGGTTGCAGTGAGCCATGATCATGCCACTGCACTCCAGCCTGGGCAACAGATCAAGACTCAGTCTTAAAGACAAAAAAAAAATACTGAGTCTTACACACTTTTGCATCTTTGTGTCTCTATGGGTCTTCACACAGAGCTTGGCACATTGTAGCTGCTCAGTCAGCACTGTTTGTGCTGAATTGAAACAATGAGATATGTACAAAGGGGCTGTCTCTCACTACTGGGGATTTAAAGCCACCCCGAGGCATTTGACAAGCTGTTCTGGCCAAGGTTGAAGAGGTTGTCCTGTCATAAAGCCCCCCTAAGACACGATGTCACACATAGACACCACTCTCTGTGCGAAAGGGGGGGCCTGTGCACTGAACTCCCAGACTTAGCTGGGCCTCAGTGCTCTTCTTGGGTTTGGTCATAGAGCCCAAGAGGAGGTGGATAAGCTGCCTGACACTGATATGGTAAAAGGATTATCTGCAAATTTCTAGCGTCATCAAGACTGGCCTCTTTGGTAAGCAGGCCTAAAAGGCTGCCCTCAATAAACCACCCAAGCAGGTGAAAATTATCTTTTTACCCCAAGCCTACCTTTTCTACATCCTTTTCTACTTGACATGCCCCTTCTACTCCTCTTCTCTCCTTTAGGACTCATTCTCTCTCCTTTCCTCCTCTAAACCTCCTCCCAGAAAAAGACCTGATAACTTCACTTACACCGGGTTATAGATGACTAACAAAGCTTACTATTGAATATGTTGCTAGTAGAAATCTGAATAAGATACAGCAACTTTTCAACTCTGATCATGGCTTTAAGCACTAGGATGAACCACAGCCATGTAATCATTCATTTGGTTACTTAGCTCTTGCTGTGTCCCACGCATAGGGGCAGCTACTGGGGGTTTGACAGTGGACGGACCTAAAGTGGTCCCTCAGTCAGGGGACAGTACAGTACCCTAAGAGCACTGAGGAGGGCCACCCCACGTGAACTCAGGTAGTCAGGGGAGCCCTCCTGAAAGCCATGGAGAAACACATTCTAGGTAGATAACAGCACATGCAAAGGCCTAGAAGTGAGTGTCTGAGGTGGAAGTTCAGAGTCTTTGTCGTCAGCAGGACATGGAGCAACACTTGACACTGAGATTTAGGCAGAGAGAGACAGAGAGACAAAGAGAGATAGAGAGACAGAAACAGATACAGAGACAGAGTTAGAGATACAGAGAGATAGACAGAGACAGAGACAGAGATAGAGACAGAGCTAGAGATACAGAGAGAGACAGAGATACAGAGAGAGAGACAGATAGAGATACACAGAGAGAGGCAGAGACAGAAATAGAGACTGAGAGAGGCAGAGACAGAAAGAGAGACAGAGATAGAGACTGAGAGATAGAGAGAGAGAGGAGTGGGAGGCAGGAGGAAAACCAGAGCATGAGAGGTCAAGCAGCCAAGAGAAAAGGCGAGGTCGTTAAAGAAAGGGTCAGCTGGGGCCGGGTGCAGTGGCTCATGCCTGTAATCCCAGCACTTTGGAAGACCGAGGCAGGCGGATCACGAGGTCAGGAGATCAGGACCATCCTGGCTAACATGGGGAAACCCCGCCTCTGCTAGTAAATACAAAAAAATTAGCTGGGCCTCGTGGCGGGCCGCCTGTAGTCTCAGCTACTCGGGAGGCTGAAGCAAGAGAATGGTGTGAACCCGGGAGGCGGAGCTTGCAGTGAGCCGAGATCACGCCACTGCACTCCAGCCTGGGCGACAGAGCGAGACTCCGTCTCAAAAAAAAAAAAAAAAAAAAAAAAAAAGAAAAAAAGGAAAGAGTCATCTGGGTTTGGTGACTAGGAGCGTACTGGTGACCTCAGTGAGAGGGGTTTCAGAGGCTTATGGAGACAGATGCAGGTTGAAGTGGGTTGTGGAGCGCGGGAGAGGTAGAAAGCAGTAAACACACCCCCCTGCCAACACCGCTCTCAGGAGACTGGTGTGAAGGGTAGGGGTCAGGACGCTAGCTGGAGAAGGAATATGGGTTCAAGGGAGAAGGGCTTTTTTCTTTTTAATAGAAGAGATCAGCAATGTGTTTAGATGCTGATGGAAGGAGCCAGAAAAAAGGAAAAGGAGAATATTGAGGTGAGACGAGATCTCCAAATGCCCAGGTGAGAAGACCAGATGAAATGGGGCACAGGAGTAGGGCTAGCTTTGGAGAGGGAGGGGAGCCTCCTCCCCTCCTCCCCTGGAAGAGGAAATGGCCTATGAGAAGCCGGTGAGTGAATGGGTTTGGTGGCAGCAAGTTGAGGAAATGCCCATCTGATGGTGCCTATGCTCTCTGCTGAAAGTGAGGAAGACGGGGTGGAGTTAGAGGTTAAAGAGAGAATCTAAGGGCCGGGCATTGTGAGGAGGGCAAGGCAGGATTGGTGGAGCCCAGGAGTTCAAGACCAGCCTGGGCAACATAGACCCTGTCTCTACAAAAAAATTAAAAATTAGCTGGGTGTGGTGAGGTGTGCCTGTGGTCCCAGCTACTCAGGAAGCTGAGGTAGAAGGATCACTTGAGTGCAGGATGTTAAGGCTGCAGTGAGCTGGGATCACGCCACTGCACTCCAGCCTGAGTGACACAGCAAGACTCTGTCTTTAAAAAAAAAAAAAAGTGGCTGGCCTCGGTGGCTCACGCCTATAATCCCAGCACTTTGGGAGGCCGAAGCGGGTGGATCACCTGAGGTCAGGAGTTTGAGACCAGCCTGGCCAACATAGTGAAACCCCGTCTCTACTAAAAATACCTTAAACCCAGGAGGTGGATGTTGCAGTGAGCCGAGATCGTGCCAGTACACTCCAGCCTGGGCGACAGAGACTCCGTCTCAGAAAAAAAAAAATCCTCCATAGTCACCTGTAGTCAGCCCTTCCTCCTACTCCCACACCCTGGCAATCAGTGAACAGTTTCCTGTTCCTGTGGTTTTGACTTTGCAAGATTGTCATATAAATGGAAACGTATGGTAGCCTTTTCAGTCTGGTTTATTTTACTTAGCACAAAGCATTTGAGATTCATCTAGTCACGTGTATCCGTAGTTTGTTCCTTTTATTGAGTGGTGGTCCGTTGTATGGATGTTCCAGAACATTTGGACTATTTCTAGTTTGGGGCATAAAATGACTATTAATAAATATTCACGTACAAGTTTTGTGTGTACATAGATTTTCCTTATACTTGAGTAAAGAGCAAGCAGTGGAATTTTTGGGTCATATGGTAAGTGTAAGTGTAAGTTTAATTTTGTAAGAAACTCAAACTTTTTCAAAGCGGCTGTCTCACCAGCAATAACCGAGAGGTTCCAGTTGTTCTACATCCTCTCCAGCATTTGTTATCTTTGAAAGCCATTCTAAAAGGCATATTTCAATTTTTATTAGATCGGTATTGAAGATTTACATTATTAAACTATGTAAACAGGCCAGGCGTGATAGTTTACACCTATAATCTCTGCACTTTGGGAGGCGAAGGCAGGAGGATCTCTTGAGCTCAGAAGTTCCAGGCCAGCCTGGTCAACATAGTGAGACTCTGTACAAAAAATAAATAAATAAATCAGAAAAAAATTAGCTAGGTCAGGCACAGTGGCTCATGACTGTAATCCCAACTACTTGAGAGGTCAACATGGGAGGATCGCTTGAGTCCAGGAGTTCGAGACCAGCCTGGACAACATTGGGAGACACTGTCTATTTAAAAAAAAAAATTAGCTGAGTGTGGTGGTGCCCTGTGATCCCAGCTACTAAGGAGGCTGAGGTAAGAGAGTCACTTACTTGAGCACAGGTTGTGGAGGCTGCAATGAAACGTGATCACTGCACTCCAGTCTGGGCAACAGAGCAAGACTCTTTCTCAAAACAAAAAATGTAGACAGTAGTCCCAGTTGAGTCATGATTTTAGTTTTTCTTCTTCTCTTTCTTTAGTTTTTTGTGCATCTATTAAATAATTAATTCATCCAAATTTTCTGCCAAAAATAGAAATCTCTTTGCAGTACATTTAGACAGATCAGGTCATTTCTCCATATGATCATTTTCATGGAGACATACCTCAGGAGCCCTCCATCTCCCTGATTCCATCTGGATGGGGCACCCTGGAGGTCTGCTGCCCAGCTGTCCTCCTGAGCTCCCCATTCACCCTTATGCTCAGGGGCTCTCCCTGCCTGTTGTGCTGGGTCCCATGTTATCTTCTTTTCTATTTCTCCTTTATTTTAGTGAAGTACAACCTCCGGTTGCTTCCTGAGGGGTAGTCTTGAGACATTTATGTATCCGAAAAGACCTCAATTCATACTTGCATAGCATTTGGCTAGGTATAGAATTCTAGATTGGAAATATTTTCTCTCAGATTTTGAAGGTCTTCATTATCTTATAGCTTCAAAGGTTGGTGTTGAGAAGTCTGATGAATGTTGAATTCCTGAAGCTCAGACTTTTTTCTCTCTGGAAGTTTTTGGGTTCCACTCTGTCCTCAGTGTTGTGAAATTTCTTGACAACAAAATTGGGGCTGGGTCCCCTTCATTCATTGTCATGAACACTTGGTGTTTCCTTCTCTACTGGAAACTCATGTTCTTCCTCTGTGAGAACTTGTCTTGACAAAAAAGAAACGTATTTATTAGACATCTTTCCTTGCCTCCTAGTCTGTTGTCTCTGCTGCCTGTTTCAGAAACATCTAAACAACAATTTAGCTGTTGGAGCTCCTGACCTCTTCTCTGTTCTTTCTGGAAAATATTTTTTTCAAGTTTAGCTTCTATACTTTGATTAGATTTTGCATTCCTATTATTATATTTTTTATTTTTAAGGCAAGGTCTTTCTCTGTTGCCCAGGCTGGAGTGCAGTGGCACGATCACAGTTCACTGCAGCTTTGTTCCTGGACTCAAGTGATCCTCCCACCTCAGCCTCCCAAGCAGCTGGAACTACAGGTGTGTGCCACCACACCCAGCCAGTATTTTAATTTTTTGTAGAGATGGGGTCTCCTTAGGTGGCCCAGGCTGGTGTTGAATTCCTAGGCTCAAACAATCCTCCTGCCTTAGCCTCCCAAAATGCTGGGATTACAGGCATGAGCTAAGGCACCCAGACTATATTTTTGTCAAGAATTAGTGGTGGTGGGTGTTTGAACATTTTTATTTTAGACCCTCCTATTCTTATTTCATGAATGCAAAGTTTTATCTTTCTAAAGATATCAATTATAGATTTTTTTTTTAAGACAGTTTCACTCTTGTTGACCAGGCTGGAGTGCAATGATGCGATCTCGGCTCACTGCAGCCTCTGTCTCCCAGGTTCAAGCAATTCTCCTGCCTCAGCCTCCTGAGTAGCTGGGATTACAGGCACCCACCACCACGCCCAGCTAATTTTTTGTATTTTTAGTAGAGACGGGGTTTCACCATGTTGGCCAGGCTGGTCTCGAACATCTGACCTCAGGTGATCCACCCATCTCGGCCTCCCAAAGTGCTGGGATTACAGGCGTGAGCCACCCTGCCCAGCCCAATTATAGATTTTTTAGGTTTAGGTGTTGACAGTAGCTCTCACCTCAGCCTGTTCTCTCTCCTTGTCATGCAGCCCACAGGGGAGATGGTCAGGCCAGTGTGGGGGCTAATGAATAAATGCTACACTGTGCCCACTCAGGTGGGTAAGGGCTGGCACTCCTCTTCCCCTGGAGTGGGGCGGCTGTGCTGGCACCCTTGGCAGACACAGTAAGGGGGACTGCACCTGGAAAGGATGGGCCAGTCGGGGCAGGACTACTCATCACTCATAGTGTGGGTGTCAGGGTTGTGTCACCCCTCCCACCTCCCTCTGCAGAGACGCAAAGTCAAGAGTAGGAAGAAGCCAACCTCTGAGGTAAGGCTTCCCCTGGAAGGCCCAGGGCTGGGGCTCTCTCCTTTCAGAGCTCAGTTAGACCCAGACACACGGCAGGGAGTCCCAAGGGTAGTGGCAGGCCCCCTCCAGGAAACTCACAAGGTTACCACAGCTCAACTGAAAAGGAAGAACTTCCCAGGACTGTGACACCCCAGTGTGAGAACAGGAGGATGAGGTGCTCTGAAGGCCTTTCTGCCCAGTCTGCCCTCTTATTCCTCCTGCAGGTCACGACCCCCAGGAGACCTGGAGGACTGAATGCTGCTGCCCCCAAGGAGGAGGCTGCCGTCTTATCCCAGGAGGGAGAGCAGGTGAAGTCCCCAGGGGAGGAAGCACCTAGCCCCATTCCTGCTGAGCAGGAGGTGGCAGGTACCCCAGACTGGGAGGTAAGGACAGCCCGGGGCTTCGACTGAACGTCTCCAGCGTGGGTCCAACTGAGCAGCCATGGAGCACTGCAGAGTGGGAGGCAGCAGGGCAGGGAGGCAGTGCTGGAGGCTGGCTCAACCCCAAGACCAGCAGGCCAAGCTGCCATCCCAGGGGAGCGAGGACGTCTGTGCAGAGCTGAGAGGCAGCAGCCATGTGTGAACAGACTGGGCCTCATCCTGGCCCACCGACTTTGTGTGGACAGAGCCTGTTTCCCTGTCTGTGCAACACAGAACCTGCCTGATCTCACTGCTGGATCCCTCTTCTTCCTGCCAGGAAAATAAAAAGGTTCAAAAGGAAGTTGCTGCGTATCCATCTGGTAAGACCACTGACCCAGCGTGCTGCAGGGGGCTGCTTCCACCCTGCTTCTCAGTGACTGCCAGGGTCACAGACACCCCAGCCCTTTCCCACCTTCCTGACCTGGGGAGGGGAGGGGAGGGAAGCAGCCCAGGAGTCAGGTGCCTTGACCTTCCTGGGAGCCTCCTTGGGTGGGCAGGAACTCTGGGCCACTCCCCTGAGCTGGCTGCATCCCTACCTTTCACCACAGCTGACCTGGCCCCGGGGCATCTCAGAGGGAGGGTTGGTTGCTCCCAGGAGGGGACTCACAAGGCTGCCTGTTTCTACTTTGCAGAGGCCTCTGAGGACAGCAAAGAGCAAAGGCCCTGGGACCGGGTCTACGTGCCCATGACAGAGCTCTGGCTGGACTGGTTCTGAGCCTCTAACACCCCCAAGACTCAGAACCGTGAAGAAAATCTTTCCAATAAATCCAAGAGTTGCTGCTGCTATAGGCCAGGCTGCCACCTTTCGGGGCCTCCGTCTTCAGACAAACCCAGCCTGGCTTCATCCACACTCCCTGTCCCCACAGCTGCAGGAACAGCACTTCCTGCCACCGAGCCGTGTGACCACAGTGGATTGTCTCTGGAGGGGCCCAAGGGGGCCCTGGCCACCCTTCTGACTGACTCGGTGCCAGGGGACAGACCAACGTCCCTCTCGTGCTGACAGCCGGGCCGCACCCTGGCATGAGGGCATTTACAGAAATGCTGGCGGAACTGCTGCCAGGGAGGCTGTAGGGTCCTCTGGCAAAAGAGGCCTCAGGTGGCTCCTCAGAGTGTCTGTGGTTCTCTGTCCCAGGCTGTTCCCTAAGAAGGTCTGCCCAGGACTCAGGTAATCATATGCTCATTAGAAACTCTTGGGCACTGCCTGTGTGCCCAGCCCAGCCCATTATGTCGGTGAGGACAGACGTGGAGGACAGCAGTCCCTGCCCTTGGTTGGGGCTCCAGGCCAGCAAGGGCCACAGCCCCAGAAGGCAGAGCAGGAAGACAGGACTCAGGGCAGGTGAAGCAGCCTTCTCGTTGGCAGAAGGGAAACAGAAGCCCGGGGTGGGGAAGGGTGGGGAAGGGTGGGGAAGGGTGGGCCCGGGGTCACACGGGGTAATGGCAGAGCAAGGACTAGGGTCAGGGTCTCTGGCTCTCAGCTGCCCATGCCACCTCCTCCTTCTCTGCCCGCCCCAGTGCCTTATGGGTCCAAGGTTGACTCCTGTCCCTAGGGCAGGCCTGTGGGCCCTGCCTGATCCCTACTGGGAGGATGGTACCTAGGGTTGGAGCCAAACAAGTGTCCTCCTCCAGCGCCAGCCTGGCCCTGAGTGCGAACTCGTCACTGGTCAGGGGTCTGTACAGCAGCGTCCCTGAGGGCCCAGAGAGGTAGCCAGTCCTGTGGTGAGGTGACGAGGCTGAGGGCGGTGGCTCAGTCCTGGGCTTCCATGGGGCCTTCCCAGGGAACGTTCTGGCACCTGCCGACTGAGCCCTGGGAGGTAGGTAGCCCTGGCCTATAGCTCCCTGACGCCATGATTTGTCTTCCGTTTTGGGGTGTCATATATGAAGGGAGGTGACTGTTGTGATGGTGCTGGCAGGACTGCTGTCCCTGATGTGGGGTGGGCTGAGTTAGGCCTGAAATATGGGCCTCCAGGCTGAGTCCTGCCCTCTCCACCACATCCAGGGCTGACTGACACCTCTAGTCAGCCCATTCTGGCCCCTTCCCCACATGCCAGGACAATGTAGTCCTTGTCACCAATCTGGGCAGTCAGAGTTGGGTCAGTGGGGGACATGGGATTATGGGCAAGGGTAACTGACATCTGCTCAGCCTCAACATACCCCTGTCTCAAATGCGGCCAGGCGGTGGGGTAAGCAGGAATGAGGCAGGGGTGGGGTTGCCCTGAGGAGGATGATCCCAACGAGGGCGTGAGCAGGGGACCCGAGTTGGAACTACCACATTGCTTTATTGTACATTAGAGCCTCTGGCTAGGGAGCAGGCTGGGGACTAGGTACCCCATTCTAGCGGGGCACAGCACAAAGCTCATAGGGGGATGGGGTCACCAGGAAAGCAAAGACACCATGGTGGCTGGGCCGGGGCTGTCCAGTGGGCACCGAGAAGCTGAAGTGCTGCAGCAGGGAGGTGAAGAAGAGGAAGAGCTCCATGCGGGCCAGGGGCTCCCCGAGGCATGCACGGCGGCCTGTGGGGAGGGGAGGGGCGTCAGTGAGCCTGGCTCCTGGGTGATACCCCTGCAAGACTCCACGGAAGGGGACAGGGAGCCGGGCTCCCCACAGGCACCTGCTGAGAAAGGCAGGAAGGCCTCCGGCTTCACAAAGTGGCCCTGGGCATCCAGGAAGTGTTCGGGGTGGAAGCGGAAGGGCTTCTCCCAGACGGCCTCATCCTTCAGCACCGATGACAGGTTGGTGATGAGTGTCGTTCCCTGGGCAGGAGATGCAGGGTGAGAGTGGGGACTGGACTCTAGGATGCTGGGACCCCTGCCACCAAACACACGGGGGACACACACTGCCTGGCACACAGCTGGACTCTGTCAACTAGTCCTGCGCCCGAGAAGCTCCACAGTACCCTCTCCGACCCCACAGCAGGGCGCAGTCACACCTCTCAGAGGCACCCACACTGCCCCCTCTCCCTGCAGGCGCTGGGTCCTCCAACATTCTGGCAGGTCCTGGTTTGTCTCCCCACTAGACGGGGGCTCTGGATGGACAGGCCAGCCCTGCCTATACTCTGGACCCCCCACCCAAGTGGGGACAGTCAGTGTGGTGGCATTGAGGACTAGGTGGCCAGGGTTCCTAGAGTGGGCCCACCTGGCAGTAGCCATGCTGGGGCTATCACCAGGGGCTGGTGCTGAGCTGGGGTGAGGAGGGCGCCAGGCCTACCTTAGGGATGCGGAAGCCCTGTACTTCGATGTCACGGGATGTCATATGGGTCACACCCAGGGGGACGATGTCCCCAAAGCGCTGCACCTCATGAATCACGGCAGTGGTGTAGGGCATGTGAGCCTGGTCACCCATCTCTGGTCGCCGCACCTGCCCTATCACGTCGTCGATCTCCTGTTGGACACGGCCTGGACAGACATGCGTCCCCACAATGGGTCAGCACCCAGGGGGTCCGGCCCTGACACTCCTTCTTGCCTCCTATGTTGGAGGAGGTCAGGCTTACAGGATCCTGGTCAAGCCTGTGCTTGGAGCCCCGGGTGTCCCAGCAAAGTTCATGGGCCCCCGCCTGTACCCTTCCTCCCTCGGCCCCTGCACTGTTTCCCAGATGGGCTCACGCTGCACATCCGGATGTAGGATCATGAGCAGGAGGCCCCAGGCCAGCGTGGTCGAGGTGGTCACCATCCCGGCAGAGAACAGGTCAGCCACCACTATGCGCAGGTTCTCATCATTGAAGCTGCTCTCAGGGTTCCCCTTGGCCTGAGCAGGGCCGAGAGCATACTCGGGACAGAACGGGGTAGCCCCCAAATGACCTCCAATTCTGCACCTGTCAGCCCAGATGCGGCTCGCCGGGTGATGCACTGGTCCAACCTTTTGCCCAGCCTCCCCTCATTCCTCCTGGGACGCTCAACCCACCACCCTTGCCCCCCACCGTGGCAGCCACTCTCACCTTCTCCATCTCTGCCAGGAAGGCCTCAGTCAGGTCTCGGGGGGGCTGGGCTGGGTCCCAGGTCATCCTGTGCTCAGTTAGCAGCTCATCCAGCTGGGTCAGGAAAGCCTTTTGGAAGCGTAGGACCTTGCCAGCCAGCGCTGGGATATGCAGGAGGACGGGGACAGCATTCAGCACCTACACCAGACAGAACGGGGTCTCAATCCCTCCTGTGCTCTGCGTTCACCTGGACAAGTCTCAGGCCCCAGCCATCTCCAGGTAGACCCAGGGCCTGCCTGTCCTTACCACTGACCTCACCAAGTCCCTCCCCAAGTGCCAGCCTCCACCCTCTCTCCTTGCCCAGAGGAGAAACCTAAAATCGAAATCTCTGACGTGGATAGGAGGTACAGAGTCCTTGGCCTCTCCTGGTGCCCCCTGACCCGGGCACACCTCTCCCACGACCATGTCTGAGATGTCCCCTCCTCCTCCAGGCCCTTCTTACAGTGGGGTCTCCTGGAATGTCCTTTCCCAAACCCATCTACGCAAATCCTGCTCTTCCGAGGCCCCAGTCCAGCCCCGGCACCTCTCGGGAGCTCGCCCTGCAGAGACTCCTCGGTCTCTCGCTCCGCACCTCGCGCAGAAAGCCCGACTCCTCCTTCAGTCCCTCCTGAGCTAGGTCCAGCAGCCTGAGGAAGCGAGGGTCGTCGTACTCGAAGCGGCGCCCGCAGGTGAGGGAGGCGATCACGTTGCTCACGGCTTTGTCCAAGAGACCGTTGGGGCGAAAGGGGCGTCCTGGGGGTGGGAGATGCGGGTAAGGGGTCGCCTTCCCCGTCCCCCGCCTTCCCAGTTCCCGCTTTGTGCCCTTCTGCCCATCACCCACCGGAGTGGTTGGCGAAGGCGGCACAAAGGCAGGCGGCCTCCTCGGTCACCCACTGCTCCAGCGACTTCTTGCCCAGGCCCAAGTTGCGCAAGGTGGAGACGGAGAAGCGCCTCTGCTCGCGCCACGCGGGCCCATAGCGCGCCAGGAACACCCCTGGGGGTGGGACGGGCACGTGCGCGTGGCCATGAAGGCATTAGCCCCACCATCCACCACCCACTCCAACCCTATGCTCCCCCTGGTCTCCCGCAGTCCCTGGCTCTGTCCAGCTGGTCACAGGGCCCACTCTTTGTGCATCCACCTTGCTCCCTTGGCTGGGGCAGGGCTTTGCCCCACCTCGTCTCTGCCCACCCTGACCGCCTTTGCACTCAGGGAAGACCCCGCGGGCCCCGCGCCACCCACACTGAGCTTACAGCACAGGTGCGGTCCCCGCCCCCCACTTCGACACCGGATTCCAGCTGGGAAATGCGCCAGCCTCACCCATTGGGCTCCTGCCAGGTCTCGGCAGTGGCCCCGCCCACTCGTCACAAGCCCCGCCCTCGTCCCCATGCTCACACCTCCCTAGTGCAGGTGGTTTCTTGGCCCGCTGTCCCCACTCGCTGGCCTGTTTCATGTCCACGACCCCGCGCCCTCTCTGCCCAGCTCGGACTACGGTCATCACCCACCCGGGTCCCACGGAAATCTGTCTCTGTCCCCACCGCTGCTTGCCTTGGGAACGCGGCCCAAAACCCAGGATCTGGGTGATGGGCACAGGCGGGCGGTCGGCGGTGTCCTCGCCGTGGGTCACCAGCGCCTCGCGCACGGCCGCCAGCCCATTGAGCACGACCACCGGCGTCCAGGCCAGCTGCAGGCTGAACACGTCCCCGAAGCGGCGCCGCAACTGCAGAGGGAGGGTCAGGGCCTCTTGTCAAGCCAGGATCCCCCCAGACTACAGGTCCTAGTCCTATTTGAACCTTGGACGACCCCCGGGGCTACCAGGAGTGAGCAGGTGGAAGGAGGAGACCCAGCCTCCTGATCGTGGGGCGGGGGTGGGGGTCACACCTTCTGTGATGGAGGAACTCAGTTTGGATGCGTCACCCAGGTATGACCTTGCAAGAGTCACCAAAATTGCCGAGAGGCCCCAGTTAGCATCCCATTCCCAGATGATGGTCCATGCCGGTGAGCAGTGAGGCCCGAGGACCCACAGTGCAAAAGGTTTGAACCGGGTCACTGCACCCCCTTCATCCTCGATTTCGTGATTTAAACGGCACTCAGGACTAACTCATCTTCCATTCCCAAGGCCTTTCCTTCTGGTGTCAGCAGAAGGGACTTTGTACTCCATAACATATGTTGCCCAATGGGCTTGCATGCCCACTGCCAAGTCCAGCTCCACCTCCAGGCCCTTGCCCTACTCTTCCTTGGCCTTTGGAAAATCCAGTCCTTCATGCCATGTATAAATGCCCTTCTCCAGGAAGTCCCCCAAACCTGCTTCCCCTTCTCAGCCTGGCTTCTGGTCCAGCCTGTGGTTTCACCCACCATCCATGTTTGCTTCTGGTAGGGGAGCCTCAGCACCTCTGCCGCCCTCCAGGACCTCCTCCCTCACCTGGTCGAAGCAGTATGGTGTGTTCTGGAAGTCCACATGCAGCAGGTTGCCCAGCCCGGGCAGTGGCAGGGGGCCTGGTGAGTAGCGTGCAGCCCAGCGTTGGCGCCGGTGCATCAGGTCCACCAGGAGCAGGAAGATGGCCACTATCACGGCCAGGGGCACCAGTGCTTCTAGCCCCATACCTGCCTCACTACCAAATGGGCTCCTCTGGACACACCTGGCACCCCCACCCCACCAGGCACAGAGGACCAGGCAGGACACTCTCAGCACACCGAGCGCGTGACCCTTCCCTTATAAAGGGAGCTGATGATGGCCTTTGCCCTCTGCTGTGAGTGAACCTGCTGTGTTGACTGTGCTGCCAGTGGCAGAGTCAGGCCAGGGCGGGTATGGGCTGCTCCAGAGGTTCTTGCCCCTGCTTCCTGCTCCAGGCCCTTACCCAGGGTAGGCCGGTGGAGGGGCCTGGTCGGAGAAGTCACCCCCTCTCCCCACTCCAAGCTCCTGAAGCCTGCAAAGCCTTCTGGGATAACCAGGGTTTCAGTGGACCCGGCCATCCACCTCCCAGCTAGGCTCATACACCCTAATGTAGTCACAACCCCTCCTCCAGAACATGGCCTTGCCCTTTCCCTACCCCCACCTGCCCACTCCAGAGTGACCTTCAGCACCCTTATCTGTCACTGGCACTTACCTGGGGCCTTAGAGCTCCTGATGATGAGTGGCATCATGGGCCTGGTCCCTTCACTTCACCTTGCACTCTTGACATGCACAGACGCTATGCACACACCTGATGGTGCACAGATCTCTTGTCCACTCCCAGACACTTGTCCACTTGTTCACACTTGCAGGGACACGATTACACACGCAGAAAATCACCCACACAAAGACAATATTCACACATACACAGACTCACACTGACACTTAGGGCACACATTCTCTCTCACACACACCAGTCACACACACATACAGACCCGGCACCAAGTACCCCACTTCCCAGCCATGCCGGAGGTTTCCTGGATGGGACCACTCCTGTCCAGAGGCTGCTCCCAGCCCAGCCCACATTCCTGGGCTCTGGCCGGGCTATGGCTTCTTGTTTGCAACAGGGCTGTTCCCAGAGCTCCCAGTTGGTAGCCGGAAGGCCCTTGCCCCAGCCTGTGACAACATCCTCCCGGGCTGCCTGAGGGTTGTCCTCCTCCACTGCTTTCTGGCCTCCATGTTTCTGATTAGAAATCTGGTGGGAACGTTATGGAGGATCCTTTGTTCAGGATATGTTGCTTTATTTTTTTTTTCTTTAGACAGGGTCTCACTCTGTTGCCCAGGCCGGAGTGCAGTGGCAGGATCATGGCTCACTGCAGTCTCGACATCAAGTGGACCCCCTGCCTCCCAAGTAGCTGGGACTACAGGCACCACCCAGCCTAATCCTTTTTTTTTTTTTTTTTTTTTTTTGGAGACGGAGATTTCCTCTTGTTGCCCAGGCTGGTGGCTCCCCTCCATTGTGCAATGATGCAATCTCGGCTCACTACAACCTTCACCTCTAGGCTTCAAGCAATTCTCCTGCCTCAGCCTCCTAAGTAGCTGGGATTACAGGTGTGTGCCACCACGTCTAGCTTTTTATATTTTCAGTAGAGATAGGGTTTCACCATGTTGGCCAGGCTAGTCTTGAACTCCTGACTTCAGGTGATCCACCCACCTCAGGCTCCCAAAGTGCTGGGATTATAGGCATGAGCCACCGCACCCAATCCCAGCTAATTTTGTATTTTTTGTAGAGACCGGGTTCTTCCAAGTTGTCCAGGCTGGTCTTGAATTCCTGGGGTGAAGCGATCCTCCCACCTGGGCCTCCCAAAGTGCTGGGATTACAGGCCTGAGCCACTGTGACTACCTGATACGTCTCTTCTCTCTTGCTGCTTTCAAAATCCTGTCTTTTGTGGGAGGGCAGCTGCCGAGCTCTGGACTTCTACGGGATCATCCACTGAGGACAGGAGGACCGGGCCCTCTACAGGTGGATTGTATGGCAGCTGCCATGCTTGGAGCCAGTGCTCACCGAGCACGTGGCGGCTGTGGAGCTGGACGCGGGGTTGATAAGTCCGCTGGGGGTGACGGGCTCATCCATGAGTGGTACTTGATGTGGCTGCAGAAGGCGGATGTGGTGGTGGCAGAAGTGACACAACTGTCCCTGGGTATAGGCTATGATCTGTGCCAGGCCACAGCCCTCAATAAGTGAATCCTGTGCCTGCTCCAGCAGCAGTCCGGTGGAGTGCTGTCGGCCATGATCTGGGAAGAGGCAGATGGCTCTGGGTTCCAGGTGTGGGACTACGGAGAGGGACAGGTGGAGGCCCTGCTGCATGGATAGGTTGAGGCTGATCCTTCCGAGCAGGTTGCCTCCCCTAACCCAACCATTGGACCTAATCCCATTTTATTAAATTCTTCTCATCCCAGACACTGCTCTAGTACCAGTCCTGGCTCTTTGCCCCAGGAGCAAATTAAAAGGTACATTTAAAATTCTAAAAAAAGAAAAATCTGTCTTTTGACAGTGATTATGATGATGCGTATGGCTGAAGATCTCTTTGAGTTTACCCTACTTGGAGTTTGATGAGCTTTTTGGATGTACGGATTAATATTTTTCATCAGATTTGGGAGGTTTTTCAGCCATTAATTCTTCAACTATTCCTTTACTCCTTTCTCCCTGTCTTCTTTCCTGGGACTCCCATTGTGTGTATGTCGGAAAGCTTGACGGCGTCTCCAGGTCTCTGGATCTCTGTGCATTGCTCTTCATGCTTGTTCCTGTTCCTCAGAGGGGACTACCTCAGGTGGCCTCTCTCCATAGTCACAGGCTCTTTCTTCCAATTGTTCCAATCTGCTCTTGGGCCCCTGGGATGAATTTTCATTTATTTTACCCTACAACTCCAGAATTTTTATTTGGTTCCTTTTTAAACTTTTTTTTTGTTTTTTGTTTTGTTTTGTTTTTTGGAGTATCGCTCTGTCACCCAGGCTGTAGTGCAGTGGTGCAATCTCGGCTCACTGCAATCTCTGCCTCTCGGGTTCAAGCGATTCTCCTGCCTCAGCCTCCCGAGTAGCTGGGATTACAGGCACGTGCCACCACGCCCGGCTAATTTTTGTATTTTAAGTAGAGACGGGGTTTCACCATGTTGGCCAGGCTGGTCTCAATCTCTTGACCTCATGATATGCCCGCCTCAGCCTCCCAAAGTGCTGGGATTATAGGCATGAGCCACCATGCCCAGCCCCTTTTTATAAGGTTCATCCCATTATTGATATTCTCTAATTGGTGAGACATTGTTCCCACACTTTCGTTAGTTCTTTTGACATGGTTCTTTTCTTTTTCTTGGGAGAGGGTCTCTCTGTCGCCCAAGCTGGAGTGCAGTGATGCAGTCATGGCTCACTGCAGCCTCAACTTCCTGGGCTGAAGTGATCCTCCTACCTCAGCATCCTGAGAGGCTGGGACCATAGGCAGCCAGCTAATTTTTTAAATTTTTTGTAGAGATGGGGGTCTCACCACATTTCCCAAGCTGCTCTCAAACTCCTGGGCTCAAGCAATCCACGGGCCTCAGCTTCCCAGAGTGCTAGGATTATAGGTGTGAGCCACTGCACCAGGCCTACACGTGGTTTCTCCCTTTGAAGTACTAGCCAGGCCTGACCATGCTTAGCTTCCGAGATCAGCAGGTTCCAGCCGGTGCAGCCTCAGATGCAGCATGTTTTAGGTCTTTGAACATATTTAAATGAGCTGACTGAACGTCTTTGTCTAGCAATTGCAGCATCGGGCTGGTCCCATTGGTGACTTTTCCCGTGTCTGGGTCGTCCTTTCGGTTTCCTTTCCATGTCTCATAATTTGTTAAAACCTGGACATTTCACGGGCGATAATGTGGCAACTCCGGAAGTCAGATTCTCTTCCCTGCCAAGGATGTGTTGTTGTTGTTGCCTGTTGGAGCTGTTTCTTTGCTGGGTGACTTTTCTGAACTAATTCTGACTAAGCATTAATGTCTCCATTCCCTGCGAGCTGTGGCCACTGAAGCCGCTCTTCAGTTACGGCAGTGGTCAGCTAATGACTGGTCAGAGAGTTCCTTAGGTGCCTGGAAGCGAAGTCTTTGCCGAGTGGGTCTCTCTCTGTGTGCCGGGCGTGGCTTCAGTGCTCGGCTAGGCAGTGCTCAACTTTCCCTTAGCCGTCACCTGCTGTCTGCACAGCACCTCAGGTCAGTCACGGGTGAGGGCTCAGGGCCTTGCCGGCCTTCCTGAATATGGGCACAGCTGCAGACAGCCTTACCCACGTGCAGGGCACCTAGATTCCCAAGAAGGGGCAAGAGCTGTTCAAAACCACTACAAGCTGGACATGGTGGCTCACACCTGTAGTGTCAGTGACTCAGAAGGCTGTAATGGGAGGATGACTTGAGGCCAGGAGTTTGAGACCTAGCAAGACCCCATCCCCCACCCAAAAAAACAAAAACAACAACAAAAACTCACTGTGGACCGCTCATGCCCCAGCTGCTGCTTTTTAACCCCAGCTGTTATCCATCACCACAGGCAGCTTCGATTTTCAATCATGGATCTGATGACTTTCAACAAACTTTCCTGAGGAAAGTGCTGTTCCCACCAGAAGAGATCTCAGGACAAATGTAGACAGCCCTGGCAAGTGGGGTCTCCCTGGGAGCTAGCAGACAGGTGAAAGACTGACAGTTCTTGGGGAATTAGGCTTTTCTTTTGTTTTGGAGATGGCGTTTCATACTTATCACCCAGACTGGAGTGCAATGGTGTGATCTCGGCTCACTGCAACCTCTGCCTCCCAGGTTCAAGCAATTCTCCTGCCTCAGCCTCCTGAGTAGCTGGGATTACAGGCACCCACCACCACGCCCAGCTAATTTTTTGTATTTTTAGTAGAGACGGGGTTTCACCATGTTGGCCAGGCTGGTCTCGAACATCTGACCTCAGGTGATCCACCCATCTCGGCCTCCCAAAGTGCTGGGATTACAGGCGTGAGCCACCCTGCCCAGCCCAATTATAGATTTTTTAGGTTTAGGTGTTGACAGTAGCTCTCACCTCAGCCTGTTCTCTCTCCTTGTCATGCAGCCCACAGGGGAGATGGTCAGGCCAGTGTGGGGGCTAATGAATAAATGCTACACTGTGCCCACTCAGGTGGGTAAGGGCTGGCACTCCTCTTCCCCTGGAGTGGGGCGGCTGTGCTGGCACCCTTGGCAGACACAGTAAGGGGGACTGCACCTGGAAAGGATGGGCCAGTCGGGGCAGGACTACTCATCACTCATAGTGTGGGTGTCAGGGTTGTGTCACCCCTCCCACCTCCCTCTGCAGAGACGCAAAGTCAAGAGTAGGAAGAAGCCAACCTCTGAGGTAAGGCTTCCCCTGGAAGGCCCAGGGCTGGGGCTCTCTCCTTTCAGAGCTCAGTTAGACCCAGACACACGGCAGGGAGTCCCAAGGGTAGTGGCAGGCCCCCTCCAGGAAACTCACAAGGTTACCACAGCTCAACTGAAAAGGAAGAACTTCCCAGGACTGTGACACCCCAGTGTGAGAACAGGAGGATGAGGTGCTCTGAAGGCCTTTCTGCCCAGTCTGCCCTCTTATTCCTCCTGCAGGTCACGACCCCCAGGAGACCTGGAGGACTGAATGCTGCTGCCCCCAAGGAGGAGGCTGCCGTCTTATCCCAGGAGGGAGAGCAGGTGAAGTCCCCAGGGGAGGAAGCACCTAGCCCCATTCCTGCTGAGCAGGAGGTGGCAGGTACCCCAGACTGGGAGGTAAGGACAGCCCGGGGCTTCGACTGAACGTCTCCAGCGTGGGTCCAACTGAGCAGCCATGGAGCACTGCAGAGTGGGAGGCAGCAGGGCAGGGAGGCAGTGCTGGAGGCTGGCTCAACCCCAAGACCAGCAGGCCAAGCTGCCATCCCAGGGGAGCGAGGACGTCTGTGCAGAGCTGAGAGGCAGCAGCCATGTGTGAACAGACTGGGCCTCATCCTGGCCCCACCGACTTTGTGTGGACAGAGCCTGTTTCCCTGTCTGTGCAACACAGAACCTGCCTGATCTCACTGCTGGATCCCTCTTCTTCCTGCCAGGAAAATAAAAAGGTTCAAAAGGAAGTTGCTGCGTATCCATCTGGTAAGACCATTGACCCAGCGTGCTGCAGGGGGCTGCTTCCACCCTGCTTCTCAGTGACTGCCAGGGTCACAGACACCCCAGCCCTTTCCCACCTTCCTGACCTGGGGAGGGGAGGGGAGGGAAGCAGCCCAGGAGTCAGGTGCCTTGACCTTCCTGGGAGCCTCCTTGGGTGGGCAGGAACTCTGGGCCACTCCCCTGAGCTGGCTGCATCCCTACCTTTCACCACAGCTGACCTGGCCCCGGGGCATCTCAGAGGGAGGGTTGGTTGCTCCCAGGAGGGGACTCACAAGGCTGCCTGTTTCTACTTTGCAGAGGCCTCTGAGGACAGCAAAGAGCAAAGGCCCTGGGACCGGGTCTACGTGCCCATGACAGAGCTCTGGCTGGACTGGTTCTGAGCCTCTAACACCCCCAAGACTCAGAACCGTGAAGAAAATCTTTCCAATAAATCCAAGAGTTGCTGCTGCTATAGGCCAGGCTGCCACCTTTCGGGGCCTCCGTCTTCAGACAAACCCAGCCTGGCTTCATCCACACTCCCTGTCCCCACAGCTGCAGGAACAGCACTTCCTGCCACCGAGCCGTGTGACCACAGTGGATTGTCTCTGGAGGGGCCCAAGGGGGCCCTGGCCACCCTTCTGACTGACTCGGTGCCAGGGGACAGACCAACGTCCCTCTCGTGCTGACAGCCGGGCCGCACCCTGGCATGAGGGCATTTACAGAAATGCTGGCGGAACTGCTGCCAGGGAGGCTGTAGGGTCCTCTGGCAAAAGAGGCCTCAGGTGGCTCCTCAGAGTGTCTGTGGTTCTCTGTCCCAGGCTGTTCCCTAAGAAGGTCTGCCCAGGACTCAGGTAATCATATGCTCATTAGAAACTCTTGGGCACTGCCTGTGTGCCCAGCCCAGCCCATTATGTCGGTGAGGACAGATGTGGAGGACAGCAGTCCCTGCCCTTGGTTGGGGCTCCAGGCCAGCAAGGGCCACAGCCCCAGAAGGCAGAGCAGGAAGACAGGACTCGGGGCAGGTGAAGCAGCCTTCTCGTTGGCAGAAGGGAAACAGAAGCCCGGGGTGGGGAAGGGTGGGGAAGGGTGGGGAAGGGTGGGCCCGGGGTCACACGGGGTAATGGCAGAGCAAGGACTAGGGTCAGGGTCTCTGGCTCTCAGCTGCCCATGCCACCTCCTCCTTCTCTGCCCGCCCCAGTGCCTTATGGGTCCAAGGTTGACTCCTGTCCCTAGGGCAGGCCTGTGGGCCCTGCCTGATCCCTACTGGGAGGATGGTACCTAGGGTTGGAGCCAAACAAGTGTCCTCCTCCAGCGCCAGCCTGGCCCTGAGTGCGAACTCGTCACTGGTCAGGGGTCCAGACAGCAGCATCCCTGAGGGCCCAGAGAGGTGGCCAGTCCTGTGGTGAGGTTGAGAGGTGTCAACGTGCTGGCGGTCCTCGCTCGCTCTCAGCGCCTCCTCGGCCTCAGCTTCTGCTCTGACCACACTTGAGGAGCCCTTCAGCCCAGCGCTGCACTGTGGGAGCCCCTCTCTGGACTGGTGGAGGCTGGAGCCGGCTCCGTCTGCTTGCGGGGAGGTATGGAGGGAGAGGCGTGTGCGGGAACCTGGGTTGCTCGCGGGCCAGCACCAGTTCTGGGTGGGCAGGGGCTCAGCGGGCCCTGCACTCGGAGCGGCCGGCTGGTGCCTCTGGCCCCAGGCAGTGAGGGGCTTAGCACCTGGGCCAGCAGCTGCAGAGGGGGCACCGGGTCCCCCAGTACTGCTGGCCTGCCGGCGCTCACCACACTTGAATTGTCGCCAGGCCTCAGTCACCTCCCCGCGGGGCAGGGCTCAGGACTTGCAGCCTGCCATGCCCAAGCCTCCCTACGGTGGGCTCCCTGCGAGGCCCAAGCCTCCCGGATGGGTGCCTCCCACTGCTCCACGGCACCTGGTCCCGTCCACTGCCCAAGGGCTGAGGAGTACAGGTGCCTGGTGTGGGACTAGCAGGCAGCTCTGCCTGTGGCCCTGGCATAGGATCCACTAGGCGAAGCTGGCTGGGCTCCTGAGTCAGGTGGGGACTTGGAGAACTTTTATGTCTAGCCAGAGAATTGTATATGCACCAATCAGCACTCTGTGTCTAGCTCCGGGTTCGTGCATGCACCAATTAGCACTCTGTATCTAGCTAATCTGGTGGGGACTTGGGGAACCTTTATTTCTAGCTAAAAGATTGTAAATACACCAATCAGCACTCTGTGTCTAGCTCAGGGTTTGTAAACACACCAGTCAGCACCCTGTGTCTAACTCAAGGTTTGTAAACGCACCAATCAGTGCTCTCTGTCTACTCTATCTAGCTAATCTAGTGGGGACTGGGACAACCTTTATGTCTAGCTAAGGGATTGTAAATACACCATTCAGCACTCTGTGTCTAGCTCAAGGTTTGTAAATATACCAATCAGTACTCTGTGTCTAGCTCAGGGATTGTAAATGCACCAATCAGCTCTCTGTAAGTGGACCAATCCACTGTCTGTAAAATGGGCCAATCAGCAGGATGTGGGTGGGGGTCAGATAAGGGAATAAAAGCAGGCTGCCTGAAGTAGCAGCGGCAACCTGGTTGCCATCATTCTTTTGCTGTTTGCAGTAAGTCTTGCTGCTGCTGCTCCCTCATTGGGTCCACACTGCCTTTATGAGTTGTAACACTGGAAGGACTGCAGTTTCACTCCTGAGGCCAGTGAGACCACAAACCCACCAGGAAGAATGAACAACTCCGTACGTGCAGCCTTAAGAGCCGTAACACTCACTGTGAAGGTCTGCAGCTTCACTCCTGAAGCCAGCAAGACCACGCACCCACCAGAAGGAAGAAACTCTGAACACGTCTTAACATCAGAAGGAACAAACTCTGAACACACCATCTTTAAGAACTGTAACACTCACCGTGAGGGTCCACAGCTTCATTCTTGAAGTCAGTGAGACCAAGAACCCACCAATTTTGGACACAAGGTGACAGGCTGAGGGCGGTGGCTCGGTCCTGGGTTTTCCTGGGGCCTTCCCAGGGAATGTTCTGGCACCTGCCGACTGAGCCCTGGGAGGTAGCCCTGGCATATAGCTCCCTGACATGATTTGTCTTCCATTTTGGGGTGTCATATATGAAGGGAGGTGACTGTTGTGATGGTGCTGGCAGGACTGCTGTCCCTGATGTGGGGTGGGCTGAGTTAGGCCTGAAATATGGGCCTCCAGGCTGAGTCCTGCCCTCTCCACCACATCCAGGGCTGACTGACACCTCTAGTCAGCCCATTCTGGCCCCTTCCCCACATGCCAGGACAATGTAGTCCTTGTCACCAATCTGGGCAGTCAGAGTTGGGTCAGTGGGGGACACGGGATTATGGGCAAGGGTAACTGACATCTGCTCAGCCTCAACGTACCCGTCTCAAATGCGGCCAGGCGGTGGGGTAAGCAGGAATGAGGCAGGGGTGGGGTTGCCCTGAGGAGGATGATCCCAACGAGGGCGTGAGCAGGGGACCCGAGTTGGAACTACCACATTGCTTTATTGTACATTAGAGCCTCTGGCTAGGGAGCAGGCTGGGGACTAGGTACCCCATTCTAGCGGGGCACAGCACAAAGCTCATAGGGGGATGGGGTCACCAGAAAGCTGACGACACGAGAGTGGCTGGGCCGGGGCTGTCCGGCGGCCACGGAGAAGCTGAAGTGCTGCAGCAGGGAGGTGAAGAAGAGGAAGAGCTCCATGCGGGCCAGGGGCTCCCCGAGGCATGCACGGCGGCCTGTGGGGAGGGGAGGGGCGTCAGTGAGCCTGGCTCCTGGGTGATACCCCTGCAAGACTCCACGGAAGGGGACAGGGAGCCGGGCTCCCCACAGGCACCTGCTGAGAAAGGCAGGAAGGCCTCCGGCTTCACAAAGTGGCCCTGGGCATCCAGGAAGTGTTCGGGGTGGAAGCGGAAGGGCTTCTCCCAGACGGCCTCATCCTTCAGCACCGATGACAGGTTGGTGATGAGTGTCGTTCCCTGGGCAGGAGATGCAGGGTGAGAGTGGGGACTGGACTCTAGGATGCTGGGACCCCTGCCACCAAACACACGGGGGACACACACTGCCTGGCACACAGCTGGACTCTGTCAACTAGTCCTGCGCCCGAGAAGCTCCACAGTACCCTCTCCGACCCCACAGCAGGGCGCAGTCACACCTCTCAGAGGCACCCACACTGCCCCCTCTCCCTGCAGGCGCTGGGTCCTCCAACATTCTGGCAGGTCCTGGTTTGTCTCCCCACTAGACGGGGGCTCTGGATGGACAGGCCAGCCCTGCCTATACTCTGGACCCCCCACCCAAGTGGGGACAGTCAGTGTGGTGGCATTGAGGACTAGGTGGCCAGGGTTCCTAGAGTGGGCCCACCTGGCAGTAGCCATGCTGGGGCTATCACCAGGGGCTGGTGCTGAGCTGGGGTGAGGAGGGCGCCAGGCCTACCTTAGGGATGCGGAAGCCCTGTACTTCGATGTCACGGGATGTCATATGGGTCACACCCAGGGGGACGATGTCCCCAAAGCGCTGCACCTCATGAATCACGGCAGTGGTGTAGGGCATGTGAGCCTGGTCACCCATCTCTGGTCGCCGCACCTGCCCTATCACGTCGTCGATCTCCTGTTGGACACGGCCTGGACAGACATGCGTCCCCACAATGGGTCAGCACCCAGGGGGTCCGGCCCTGACACTCCTTCTTGCCTCCTATGTTGGAGGAGGTCAGGCTTACAGGATCCTGGTCAAGCCTGTGCTTGGAGCCCCGGGTGTCCCAGCAAAGTTCATGGGCCCCCGCCTGTACCCTTCCTCCCTCGGCCCCTGCACTGTTTCCCAGATGGGCTCACGCTGCACATCCGGATGTAGGATCATGAGCAGGAGGCCCCAGGCCAGCGTGGTCGAGGTGGTCACCATCCCGGCAGAGAACAGGTCAGCCACCACTATGCGCAGGTTCTCATCATTGAAGCTGCTCTCAGGGTTCCCCTTGGCCTGAGCAGGGCCGAGAGCATACTCGGGACAGAACGGGGTAGCCCCCAAATGACCTCCAATTCTGCACCTGTCAGCCCAGATGCGGCTCGCCGGGTGATGCACTGGTCCAACCTTTTGCCCAGCCTCCCCTCATTCCTCCTGGGACGCTCAACCCACCACCCTTGCCCCCCACCGTGGCAGCCACTCTCACCTTCTCCATCTCTGCCAGGAAGGCCTCAGTCAGGTCTCGGGGGGGCTGGGCTGGGTCCCAGGTCATCCTGTGCTCAGTTAGCAGCTCATCCAGCTGGGTCAGGAAAGCCTTTTGGAAGCGTAGGACCTTGCCAGCCAGCGCTGGGATATGCAGGAGGACGGGGACAGCATTCAGCACCTACACCAGACAGAACGGGGTCTCAATCCCTCCTGTGCTCTGCGTTCACCTGGACAAGTCTCAGGCCCCAGCCATCTCCAGGTAGACCCAGGGCCTGCCTGTCCTTACCACTGACCTCACCAAGTCCCTCCCCAAGTGCCAGCCTCCACCCTCTCTCCTTGCCCAGAGGAGAAACCTAAAATCGAAATCTCTGACGTGGATAGGAGGTACAGAGTCCTTGGCCTCTCCTGGTGCCCCCTGACCCGGGCACACCTCTCCCACGACCATGTCTGAGATGTCCCCTCCTCCTCCAGGCCCTTCTTACAGTGGGGTCTCCTGGAATGTCCTTTCCCAAACCCATCTACGCAAATCCTGCTCTTCCGAGGCCCCAGTCCAGCCCCGGCACCTCTCGGGAGCTCGCCCTGCAGAGACTCCTCGGTCTCTCGCTCCGCACCTCGCGCAGAAAGCCCGACTCCTCCTTCAGTCCCTCCTGAGCTAGGTCCAGCAGCCTGAGGAAGCGAGGGTCGTCGTACTCGAAGCGGCGCCCGCAGGTGAGGGAGGCGATCACGTTGCTCACGGCTTTGTCCAAGAGACCGTTGGGGCGAAAGGGGCGTCCTGGGGGTGGGAGATGCGGGTAAGGGGTCGCCTTCCCCGTCCCCCGCCTTCCCAGTTCCCGCTTTGTGCCCTTCTGCCCATCACCCACCGGAGTGGTTGGCGAAGGCGGCACAAAGGCAGGCGGCCTCCTCGGTCACCCACTGCTCCAGCGACTTCTTGCCCAGGCCCAAGTTGCGCAAGGTGGAGACGGAGAAGCGCCTCTGCTCGCGCCACGCGGGCCCATAGCGCGCCAGGAACACCCCTGGGGGTGGGACGGGCACGTGCGCGTGGCCATGAAGGCATTAGCCCCACCATCCACCACCCACTCCAACCCTATGCTCCCCCTGGTCTCCCGCAGTCCCTGGCTCTGTCCAGCTGGTCACAGGGCCCACTCTTTGTGCATCCACCTTGCTCCCTTGGCTGGGGCAGGGCTTTGCCCCACCTCGTCTCTGCCCACCCTGACCGCCTTTGCACTCAGGGAAGACCCCGCGGGCCCCGCGCCACCCACACTGAGCTTACAGCACAGGTGCGGTCCCCGCCCCCCACTTCGACACCGGATTCCAGCTGGGAAATGCGCCAGCCTCACCCATTGGGCTCCTGCCAGGTCTCGGCAGTGGCCCCGCCCACTCGTCACAAGCCCCGCCCTCGTCCCCATGCTCACACCTCCCTAGTGCAGGTGGTTTCTTGGCCCGCTGTCCCCACTCGCTGGCCTGTTTCATGTCCACGACCCCGCGCCCTCTCTGCCCAGCTCGGACTACGGTCATCACCCACCCGGGTCCCACGGAAATCTGTCTCTGTCCCCACCGCTGCTTGCCTTGGGAACGCGGCCCAAAACCCAGGATCTGGGTGATGGGCACAGGCGGGCGGTCGGCGGTGTCCTCGCCGTGGGTCACCAGCGCCTCGCGCACGGCCGCCAGCCCATTGAGCACGACCACCGGCGTCCAGGCCAGCTGCAGGCTGAACACGTCCCCGAAGCGGCGCCGCAACTGCAGAGGGAGGGTCAGGGCCTCTTGTCAAGCCAGGATCCCCCCAGACTACAGGTCCTAGTCCTATTTGAACCTTGGACGACCCCCGGGGCTACCAGGAGTGAGCAGGTGGAAGGAGGAGACCCAGCCTCCTGATCGTGGGGCGGGGGTGGGGGTCACACCTTCTGTGATGGAGGAACTCAGTTTGGATGCGTCACCCAGGTATGACCTTGCAAGAGTCACCAAAATTGCCGAGAGGCCCCAGTTAGCATCCCATTCCCAGATGATGGTCCATGCCGGTGAGCAGTGAGGCCCGAGGACCCACAGTGCAAAAGGTTTGAACCGGGTCACTGCACCCCCTTCATCCTCGATTTCGTGATTTAAACGGCACTCAGGACTAACTCATCTTCCATTCCCAAGGCCTTTCCTTCTGGTGTCAGCAGAAGGGACTTTGTACTCCATAACATATGTTGCCCAATGGGCTTGCATGCCCACTGCCAAGTCCAGCTCCACCTCCAGGCCCTTGCCCTACTCTTCCTTGGCCTTTGGAAAATCCAGTCCTTCATGCCATGTATAAATGCCCTTCTCCAGGAAGTCCCCCAAACCTGCTTCCCCTTCTCAGCCTGGCTTCTGGTCCAGCCTGTGGTTTCACCCACCATCCATGTTTGCTTCTGGTAGGGGAGCCTCAGCACCTCTGCCGCCCTCCAGGACCTCCTCCCTCACCTGGTCGAAGCAGTATGGTGTGTTCTGGAAGTCCACATGCAGCAGGTTGCCCAGCCCGGGCAGTGGCAGGGGGCCTGGTGAGTAGCGTGCAGCCCAGCGTTGGCGCCGGTGCATCAGGTCCACCAGGAGCAGGAAGATGGCCACTATCACGGCCAGGGGCACCAGTGCTTCTAGCCCCATACCTGCCTCACTACCAAATGGGCTCCTCTGGACACACCTGGCACCCCCACCCCACCAGGCACAGAGGACCAGGCAGGACACTCTCAGCACACCGAGCGCGTGACCCTTCCCTTATAAAGGGAGCTGATGATGGCCTTTGCCCTCTGCTGTGAGTGAACCTGCTGTGTTGACTGTGCTGCCAGTGGCAGAGTCAGGCCAGGGCGGGTATGGGCTGCTCCAGAGGTTCTTGCCCCTGCTTCCTGCTCCAGGCCCTTACCCAGGGTAGGCCGGTGGAGGGGCCTGGTCGGAGAAGTCACCCCCTCTCCCCACTCCAAGCTCCTGAAGCCTGCAAAGCCTTCTGGGATAACCAGGGTTTCAGTGGACCCGGCCATCCACCTCCCAGCTAGGCTCATACACCCTAATGTAGTCACAACCCCTCCTCCAGAACATGGCCTTGCCCTTTCCCTACCCCCACCTGCCCACTCCAGAGTGACCTTCAGCACCCTTATCTGTCACTGGCACTTACCTGGGGCCTTAGAGCTCCTGATGATGAGTGGCATCATGGGCCTGGTCCCTTCACTTCACCTTGCACTCTTGACATGCACAGACGCTATGCACACACCTGATGGTGCACAGATCTCTTGTCCACTCCCAGACACTTGTCCACTTGTTCACACTTGCAGGGACACGATTACACACGCAGAAAATCACCCACACAAAGACAATATTCACACATACACAGACTCACACTGACACTTAGGGCACACATTCTCTCTCACACACACCAGTCACACACACATACAGACCCGGCACCAAGTACCCCACTTCCCAGCCATGCCGGAGGTTTCCTGGATGGGACCACTCCTGTCCAGAGGCTGCTCCCAGCCCAGCCCACATTCCTGGGCTCTGGCCGGGCTATGGCTTCTTGTTTGCAACAGGGCTGTTCCCAGAGCTCCCAGTTGGTAGCCGGAAGGCCCTTGCCCCAGCCTGTGACAACATCCTCCCGGGCTGCCTGAGGGTTGTCCTCCTCCACTGCTTTCTGGCCTCCATGTTTCTGATTAGAAATCTGGTGGGAACGTTATGGAGGATCCTTTGTTCAGGATATGTTGCTTTATTTTTTTTTTCTTTAGACAGGGTCTCACTCTGTTGCCCAGGCCGGAGTGCAGTGGCAGGATCATGGCTCACTGCAGTCTCGACATCAAGTGGACCCCCTGCCTCCCAAGTAGCTGGGACTACAGGCACCACCCAGCCTAATCCTTTTTTTTTTTTTTTTTTTTTTTTGGAGACGGAGATTTCCTCTTGTTGCCCAGGCTGGTGGCTCCCCTCCATTGTGCAATGATGCAATCTCGGCTCACTACAACCTTCACCTCTAGGCTTCAAGCAATTCTCCTGCCTCAGCCTCCTAAGTAGCTGGGATTACAGGTGTGTGCCACCACGTCTAGCTTTTTATATTTTCAGTAGAGATAGGGTTTCACCATGTTGGCCAGGCTAGTCTTGAACTCCTGACTTCAGGTGATCCACCCACCTCAGGCTCCCAAAGTGCTGGGATTATAGGCATGAGCCACCGCACCCAATCCCAGCTAATTTTGTATTTTTTGTAGAGACCGGGTTCTTCCAAGTTGTCCAGGCTGGTCTTGAATTCCTGGGGTGAAGCGATCCTCCCACCTGGGCCTCCCAAAGTGCTGGGATTACAGGCCTGAGCCACTGTGACTACCTGATACGTCTCTTCTCTCTTGCTGCTTTCAAAATCCTGTCTTTTGTGGGAGGGCAGCTGCCGAGCTCTGGACTTCTACGGGATCATCCACTGAGGACAGGAGGACCGGGCCCTCTACAGGTGGATTGTATGGCAGCTGCCATGCTTGGAGCCAGTGCTCACCGAGCACGTGGCGGCTGTGGAGCTGGACGCGGGGTTGATAAGTCCGCTGGGGGTGACGGGCTCATCCATGAGTGGTACTTGATGTGGCTGCAGAAGGCGGATGTGGTGGTGGCAGAAGTGACACAACTGTCCCTGGGTATAGGCTATGATCTGTGCCAGGCCACAGCCCTCAATAAGTGAATCCTGTGCCTGCTCCAGCAGCAGTCCGGTGGAGTGCTGTCGGCCATGATCTGGGAAGAGGCAGATGGCTCTGGGTTCCAGGTGTGGGACTACGGAGAGGGACAGGTGGAGGCCCTGCTGCATGGATAGGTTGAGGCTGATCCTTCCGAGCAGGTTGCCTCCCCTAACCCAACCATTGGACCTAATCCCATTTTATTAAATTCTTCTCATCCCAGACACTGCTCTAGTACCAGTCCTGGCTCTTTGCCCCAGGAGCAAATTAAAAGGTACATTTAAAATTCTAAAAAAAGAAAAATCTGTCTTTTGACAGTGATTATGATGATGCGTATGGCTGAAGATCTCTTTGAGTTTACCCTACTTGGAGTTTGATGAGCTTTTTGGATGTACGGATTAATATTTTTCATCAGATTTGGGAGGTTTTTCAGCCATTAATTCTTCAACTATTCCTTTACTCCTTTCTCCCTGTCTTCTTTCCTGGGACTCCCATTGTGTGTATGTCGGAAAGCTTGACGGCGTCTCCAGGTCTCTGGATCTCTGTGCATTGCTCTTCATGCTTGTTCCTGTTCCTCAGAGGGGACTACCTCAGGTGGCCTCTCTCCATAGTCACAGGCTCTTTCTTCCAATTGTTCCAATCTGCTCTTGGGCCCCTGGGATGAATTTTCATTTATTTTACCCTACAACTCCAGAATTTTTATTTGGTTCCTTTTTAAACTTTTTTTTTGTTTTTTGTTTTGTTTTGTTTTTTGGAGTATCGCTCTGTCACCCAGGCTGTAGTGCAGTGGTGCAATCTCGGCTCACTGCAATCTCTGCCTCTCGGGTTCAAGCGATTCTCCTGCCTCAGCCTCCCGAGTAGCTGGGATTACAGGCACGTGCCACCACGCCCGGCTAATTTTTGTATTTTAAGTAGAGACGGGGTTTCACCATGTTGGCCAGGCTGGTCTCAATCTCTTGACCTCATGATATGCCCGCCTCAGCCTCCCAAAGTGCTGGGATTATAGGCATGAGCCACCATGCCCAGCCCCTTTTTATAAGGTTCATCCCATTATTGATATTCTCTAATTGGTGAGACATTGTTCCCACACTTTCGTTAGTTCTTTTGACATGGTTCTTTTCTTTTTCTTGGGAGAGGGTCTCTCTGTCGCCCAAGCTGGAGTGCAGTGATGCAGTCATGGCTCACTGCAGCCTCAACTTCCTGGGCTGAAGTGATCCTCCTACCTCAGCATCCTGAGAGGCTGGGACCATAGGCAGCCAGCTAATTTTTTAAATTTTTTGTAGAGATGGGGGTCTCACCACATTTCCCAAGCTGCTCTCAAACTCCTGGGCTCAAGCAATCCACGGGCCTCAGCTTCCCAGAGTGCTAGGATTATAGGTGTGAGCCACTGCACCAGGCCTACACGTGGTTTCTCCCTTTGAAGTACTAGCCAGGCCTGACCATGCTTAGCTTCCGAGATCAGCAGGTTCCAGCCGGTGCAGCCTCAGATGCAGCATGTTTTAGGTCTTTGAACATATTTAAATGAGCTGACTGAACGTCTTTGTCTAGCAATTGCAGCATCGGGCTGGTCCCATTGGTGACTTTTCCCGTGTCTGGGTCGTCCTTTCGGTTTCCTTTCCATGTCTCATAATTTGTTAAAACCTGGACATTTCACGGGCGATAATGTGGCAACTCCGGAAGTCAGATTCTCTTCCCTGCCAAGGATGTGTTGTTGTTGTTGCCTGTTGGAGCTGTTTCTTTGCTGGGTGACTTTTCTGAACTAATTCTGACTAAGCATTAATGTCTCCATTCCCTGCGAGCTGTGGCCACTGAAGCCGCTCTTCAGTTACGGCAGTGGTCAGCTAATGACTGGTCAGAGAGTTCCTTAGGTGCCTGGAAGCGAAGTCTTTGCCGAGTGGGTCTCTCTCTGTGTGCCGGGCGTGGCTTCAGTGCTCGGCTAGGCAGTGCTCAACTTTCCCTTAGCCGTCACCTGCTGTCTGCACAGCACCTCAGGTCAGTCACGGGTGAGGGCTCAGGGCCTTGCCGGCCTTCCTGAATATGGGCACAGCTGCAGACAGCCTTACCCACGTGCAGGGCACCTAGATTCCCAAGAAGGGGCAAGAGCTGTTCAAAACCACTACAAGCTGGACATGGTGGCTCACACCTGTAGTGTCAGTGACTCAGAAGGCTGTAATGGGAGGATGACTTGAGGCCAGGAGTTTGAGACCTAGCAAGACCCCATCCCCCACCCAAAAAAACAAAAACAACAACAAAAACTCACTGTGGACCGCTCATGCCCCAGCTGCTGCTTTTTAACCCCAGCTGTTATCCATCACCACAGGCAGCTTCGATTTTCAATCATGGATCTGATGACTTTCAACAAACTTTCCTGAGGAAAGTGCTGTTCCCACCAGAAGAGATCTCAGGACAAATGTAGACAGCCCTGGCAAGTGGGGTCTCCCTGGGAGCTAGCAGACAGGTGAAAGACTGACAGTTCTTGGGGAATTAGGCTTTTCTTTTGTTTTGGAGATGGCGTTTCATACTTATCACCCAGACTGGAGTGCAATGGTGTGATCTCGGCTCACTGCAACCTCTGCCTCCCAGGTTCAAGCAATTCTCCTGCCTCAGCCTCCTGAGTAGCTGGGATTACAGGCACCCACCACCACGCCCAGCTAATTTTTTGTATTTTTAGTAGAGACGGGGTTTCACCATGTTGGCCAGGCTGGTCTCGAACATCTGACCTCAGGTGATCCACCCATCTCGGCCTCCCAAAGTGCTGGGATTACAGGCGTGAGCCACCCTGCCCAGCCCAATTATAGATTTTTTAGGTTTAGGTGTTGACAGTAGCTCTCACCTCAGCCTGTTCTCTCTCCTTGTCATGCAGCCCACAGGGGAGATGGTCAGGCCAGTGTGGGGGCTAATGAATAAATGCTACACTGTGCCCACTCAGGTGGGTAAGGGCTGGCACTCCTCTTCCCCTGGAGTGGGGCGGCTGTGCTGGCACCCTTGGCAGACACAGTAAGGGGGACTGCACCTGGAAAGGATGGGCCAGTCGGGGCAGGACTACTCATCACTCATAGTGTGGGTGTCAGGGTTGTGTCACCCCTCCCACCTCCCTCTGCAGAGACGCAAAGTCAAGAGTAGGAAGAAGCCAACCTCTGAGGTAAGGCTTCCCCTGGAAGGCCCAGGGCTGGGGCTCTCTCCTTTCAGAGCTCAGTTAGACCCAGACACACGGCAGGGAGTCCCAAGGGTAGTGGCAGGCCCCCTCCAGGAAACTCACAAGGTTACCACAGCTCAACTGAAAAGGAAGAACTTCCCAGGACTGTGACACCCCAGTGTGAGAACAGGAGGATGAGGTGCTCTGAAGGCCTTTCTGCCCAGTCTGCCCTCTTATTCCTCCTGCAGGTCACGACCCCCAGGAGACCTGGAGGACTGAATGCTGCTGCCCCCAAGGAGGAGGCTGCCGTCTTATCCCAGGAGGGAGAGCAGGTGAAGTCCCCAGGGGAGGAAGCACCTAGCCCCATTCCTGCTGAGCAGGAGGTGGCAGGTACCCCAGACTGGGAGGTAAGGACAGCCCGGGGCTTCGACTGAACGTCTCCAGCGTGGGTCCAACTGAGCAGCCATGGAGCACTGCAGAGTGGGAGGCAGCAGGGCAGGGAGGCAGTGCTGGAGGCTGGCTCAACCCCAAGACCAGCAGGCCAAGCTGCCATCCCAGGGGAGCGAGGACGTCTGTGCAGAGCTGAGAGGCAGCAGCCATGTGTGAACAGACTGGGCCTCATCCTGGCCCCACCGACTTTGTGTGGACAGAGCCTGTTTCCCTGTCTGTGCAACACAGAACCTGCCTGATCTCACTGCTGGATCCCTCTTCTTCCTGCCAGGAAAATAAAAAGGTTCAAAAGGAAGTTGCTGCGTATCCATCTGGTAAGACCATTGACCCAGCGTGCTGCAGGGGGCTGCTTCCACCCTGCTTCTCAGTGACTGCCAGGGTCACAGACACCCCAGCCCTTTCCCACCTTCCTGACCTGGGGAGGGGAGGGGAGGGAAGCAGCCCAGGAGTCAGGTGCCTTGACCTTCCTGGGAGCCTCCTTGGGTGGGCAGGAACTCTGGGCCACTCCCCTGAGCTGGCTGCATCCCTACCTTTCACCACAGCTGACCTGGCCCCGGGGCATCTCAGAGGGAGGGTTGGTTGCTCCCAGGAGGGGACTCACAAGGCTGCCTGTTTCTACTTTGCAGAGGCCTCTGAGGACAGCAAAGAGCAAAGGCCCTGGGACCGGGTCTACGTGCCCATGACAGAGCTCTGGCTGGACTGGTTCTGAGCCTCTAACACCCCCAAGACTCAGAACCGTGAAGAAAATCTTTCCAATAAATCCAAGAGTTGCTGCTGCTATAGGCCAGGCTGCCACCTTTCGGGGCCTCCGTCTTCAGACAAACCCAGCCTGGCTTCATCCACACTCCCTGTCCCCACAGCTGCAGGAACAGCACTTCCTGCCACCGAGCCGTGTGACCACAGTGGATTGTCTCTGGAGGGGCCCAAGGGGGCCCTGGCCACCCTTCTGACTGACTCGGTGCCAGGGGACAGACCAACGTCCCTCTCGTGCTGACAGCCGGGCCGCACCCTGGCATGAGGGCATTTACAGAAATGCTGGCGGAACTGCTGCCAGGGAGGCTGTAGGGTCCTCTGGCAAAAGAGGCCTCAGGTGGCTCCTCAGAGTGTCTGTGGTTCTCTGTCCCAGGCTGTTCCCTAAGAAGGTCTGCCCAGGACTCAGGTAATCATATGCTCATTAGAAACTCTTGGGCACTGCCTGTGTGCCCAGCCCAGCCCATTATGTCGGTGAGGACAGACGTGGAGGACAGCAGTCCCTGCCCTTGGTTGGGGCTCCAGGCCAGCAAGGGCCACAGCCCCAGAAGGCAGAGCAGGAAGACAGGACTCGGGGCAGGTGAAGCAGCCTTCTCGTTGGCAGAAGGGAAACAGAAGCCCGGGGTGGGGAAGGGTGGGGAAGGGTGGGGAAGGGTGGGCCCGGGGTCACACGGGGTAATGGCAGAGCAAGGACTAGGGTCAGGGTCTCTGGCTCTCAGCTGCCCATGCCACCTCCTCCTTCTCTGCCCGCCCCAGTGCCTTATGGGTCCAAGGTTGACTCCTGTCCCTAGGGCAGGCCTGTGGGCCCTGCCTGATCCCTACTGGGAGGATGGTACCTAGGGTTGGAGCCAAACAAGTGTCCTCCTCCAGCGCCAGCCTGGCCCTGAGTGCGAACTCGTCACTGGTCAGGGGTCCAGACAGCAGCATCCCTGAGGGCCCAGAGAGGTGGCCAGTCCTGTGGTGAGGTTGAGAGGTGTCAACGTGCTGGTGGTCCTCGCTCGCTCTCAGCGCCTCCTCGGCCTCAGCTTCTGCTCTGACCACACTTGAGGAGCCCTTCAGCCCAGCGCTGCACTGTGGGAGCCCCTCTCTGGACTGGTGGAGGCTGGAGCCGGCTCCGTCTGCTTGCGGGGAGGTATGGAGGGAGAGGCGTGTGCGGGAACCTGGGTTGCTCGCGGGCCAGCACCAGTTCTGGGTGGGCAGGGGCTCAGCGGGCCCTGCACTCGGAGCGGCCGGCTGGTGCCTCTGGCCCCAGGCAGTGAGGGGCTTAGCACCTGGGCCAGCAGCTGCAGAGGGGGCACCGGGTCCCCCAGTACTGCTGGCCTGCCGGCGCTCACCACACTTGAATTGTCGCCAGGCCTCAGTCACCTCCCCGCGGGGCAGGGCTCAGGACTTGCAGCCTGCCATGCCCAAGCCTCCCTACGGTGGGCTCCCTGCGAGGCCCGAGCCTCCCGGATGGGTGCCTCCCACTGCTCCACGGCACCTGGTCCCGTCCACTGCCCAAGGGCTGAGGAGTACAGGTGCCCGGTGTGGGACTAGCAGGCAGCTCTGCCTGTGGCCCTGGCATAGGATCCACTAGGCGAAGCTGGCTGGGCTCCTGAGTCAGGTGGGGACTTGGAGAACTTTTATGTCTAGCCAGAGGATTGTATATGCACCAATCAGCACTCTGTGTCTAGCTCCGGGTTCGTGCATGCACCAATTAGCACTCTATCTAGCTAATCTGGTGGGGACTTGGGGAACCTTTATTTCTAGCTAAAAGATTGTAAATACACCAATCAGCACTCTGTGTCTAGCTCAAGGTTTGTAAACACACCAGTCAGCACCCTGTGTCTAACTCAAGGTTTGTAAACGCACCAATCAGTGCTCTCTGTCTACTCTATCTAGCTAATCTAGTGGGGACTGGGACAACCTTTATGTCTAGCTAAGGGATTGTAAATACACCATTCAGCACTCTGTGTCTAGCTCAAGGTTTGTAAATATACCAATCAGTACTCTGTGTCTAGCTCAGGGATTGTAAATGCACCAATCAGCTCTCTGTAAGTGGACCAATCCACTGTCTGTAAAATGGGCCAATCAGCAGGATGTGGGTGGGGGTCAGATAAGGGAATAAAAGCAGGCTGCCTGAAGTAGCAGCGGCAACCTGGTTGCCATCATTCTTTTGCTGTTTGCAGTAAGTCTTGCTGCTGCTGCTCCCTCATTGGGTCCACACTGCCTTTATGAGTTGTAACACTGGAAGGACTGCAGTTTCACTCCTGAGGCCAGTGAGACCACAAACCCACCAGGAAGAATGAACAACTCCGTACGTGCAGCCTTAAGAGCCGTAACACTCACTGTGAAGGTCTGCAGCTTCACTCCTGAAGCCAGCAAGACCACGCACCCACCAGAAGGAAGAAACTCTGAACACGTCTTAACATCAGAAGGAACAAACTCTGAACACACCATCTTTAAGAACTGTAACACTCACCGTGAGGGTCCACAGCTTCATTCTTGAAGTCAGTGAGACCAAGAACCCACCAATTTTGGACACAAGGTGACAGGCTGAGGGCGGTGGCTCGGTCCTGGGTTTTCCTGGGGCCTTCCCAGGGAATGTTCTGGCACCTGCCGACTGAGCCCTGGGAGGTAGCCCTGGCATATAGCTCCCTGACATGATTTGTCTTCCATTTTGGGGTGTCATATATGAAGGGAGGTGACTGTTGTGATGGTGCTGGCAGGACTGCTGTCCCTGATGTGGGGTGGGCTGAGTTAGGCCTGAAATATGGGCCTCCAGGCTGAGTCCTGCCCTCTCCACCACATCCAGGGCTGACTGACACCTCTAGTCAGCCCATTCTGGCCCCTTCCCCACATGCCAGGACAATGTAGTCCTTGTCACCAATCTGGGCAGTCAGAGTTGGGTCAGTGGGGGACACGGGATTATGGGCAAGGGTAACTGACATCTGCTCAGCCTCAACGTACCCGTCTCAAATGCGGCCAGGCGGTGGGGTAAGCAGGAATGAGGCAGGGGTGGGGTTGCCCTGAGGAGGATGATCCCAACGAGGGCGTGAGCAGGGGACCCGAGTTGGAACTACCACATTGCTTTATTGTACATTAGAGCCTCTGGCTAGGGAGCAGGCTGGGGACTAGGTACCCCATTCTAGCGGGGCACAGCACAAAGCTCATAGGGGGATGGGGTCACCAGAAAGCTGACGACACGAGAGTGGCTGGGCCGGGGCTGTCCGGCGGCCACGGAGAAGCTGAAGTGCTGCAGCAGGGAGGTGAAGAAGAGGAAGAGCTCCATGCGGGCCAGGGGCTCCCCGAGGCATGCACGGCGGCCTGTGGGG
Source organism: Homo sapiens (assembly GCF_000001405.40). Classification (NCBI taxonomy): domain Eukaryota; kingdom Metazoa; phylum Chordata; class Mammalia; order Primates; family Hominidae; genus Homo; species Homo sapiens. The sequence continues at coordinate 47,768 of NW_014040931.1, forward strand.
AGGGGAGGGGCGTCAGTGAGCCTGGCTCCTGGGTGATACCCCTGCAAGACTCCACGGAAGGGGACAGGGAGCCGGGCTCCCCACAGGCACCTGCTGAGAAAGGCAGGAAGGCCTCCGGCTTCACAAAGTGGCCCTGGGCATCCAGGAAGTGTTCGGGGTGGAAGCGGAAGGGCTTCTCCCAGACGGCCTCATCCTTCAGCACCGATGACAGGTTGGTGATGAGTGTCGTTCCCTGGGCAGGAGATGCAGGGTGAGAGTGGGGACTGGACTCTAGGATGCTGGGACCCCTGCCACCAAACACACGGGGGACACACACTGCCTGGCACACAGCTGGACTCTGTCAACTAGTCCTGCGCCCGAGAAGCTCCACAGTACCCTCTCCGACCCCACAGCAGGGCGCAGTCACACCTCTCAGAGGCACCCACACTGCCCCCTCTCCCTGCAGGCGCTGGGTCCTCCAACATTCTGGCAGGTCCTGGTTTGTCTCCCCACTAGACGGGGGCTCTGGATGGACAGGCCAGCCCTGCCTATACTCTGGACCCCCCACCCAAGTGGGGACAGTCAGTGTGGTGGCATTGAGGACTAGGTGGCCAGGGTTCCTAGAGTGGGCCCACCTGGCAGTAGCCATGCTGGGGCTATCACCAGGGGCTGGTGCTGAGCTGGGGTGAGGAGGGCGCCAGGCCTACCTTAGGGATGCGGAAGCCCTGTACTTCGATGTCACGGGATGTCATATGGGTCACACCCAGGGGGACGATGTCCCCAAAGCGCTGCACCTCATGAATCACGGCAGTGGTGTAGGGCATGTGAGCCTGGTCACCCATCTCTGGTCGCCGCACCTGCCCTATCACGTCGTCGATCTCCTGTTGGACACGGCCTGGACAGACATGCGTCCCCACAATGGGTCAGCACCCAGGGGGTCCGGCCCTGACACTCCTTCTTGCCTCCTATGTTGGAGGAGGTCAGGCTTACAGGATCCTGGTCAAGCCTGTGCTTGGAGCCCCGGGTGTCCCAGCAAAGTTCATGGGCCCCCGCCTGTACCCTTCCTCCCTCGGCCCCTGCACTGTTTCCCAGATGGGCTCACGCTGCACATCCGGATGTAGGATCATGAGCAGGAGGCCCCAGGCCAGCGTGGTCGAGGTGGTCACCATCCCGGCAGAGAACAGGTCAGCCACCACTATGCGCAGGTTCTCATCATTGAAGCTGCTCTCAGGGTTCCCCTTGGCCTGAGCAGGGCCGAGAGCATACTCGGGACAGAACGGGGTAGCCCCCAAATGACCTCCAATTCTGCACCTGTCAGCCCAGATGCGGCTCGCCGGGTGATGCACTGGTCCAACCTTTTGCCCAGCCTCCCCTCATTCCTCCTGGGACGCTCAACCCACCACCCTTGCCCCCCACCGTGGCAGCCACTCTCACCTTCTCCATCTCTGCCAGGAAGGCCTCAGTCAGGTCTCGGGGGGGCTGGGCTGGGTCCCAGGTCATCCTGTGCTCAGTTAGCAGCTCATCCAGCTGGGTCAGGAAAGCCTTTTGGAAGCGTAGGACCTTGCCAGCCAGCGCTGGGATATGCAGGAGGACGGGGACAGCATTCAGCACCTACACCAGACAGAACGGGGTCTCAATCCCTCCTGTGCTCTGCGTTCACCTGGACAAGTCTCAGGCCCCAGCCATCTCCAGGTAGACCCAGGGCCTGCCTGTCCTTACCACTGACCTCACCAAGTCCCTCCCCAAGTGCCAGCCTCCACCCTCTCTCCTTGCCCAGAGGAGAAACCTAAAATCGAAATCTCTGACGTGGATAGGAGGTACAGAGTCCTTGGCCTCTCCTGGTGCCCCCTGACCCGGGCACACCTCTCCCACGACCATGTCTGAGATGTCCCCTCCTCCTCCAGGCCCTTCTTACAGTGGGGTCTCCTGGAATGTCCTTTCCCAAACCCATCTATGCAAATCCTGCTCTTCCGAGGCCCCAGTCCAGCCCCGGCACCTCTCGGGAGCTCGCCCTGCAGAGACTCCTCGGTCTCTCGCTCCGCACCTCGCGCAGAAAGCCCGACTCCTCCTTCAGTCCCTCCTGAGCTAGGTCCAGCAGCCTGAGGAAGCGAGGGTCGTCGTACTCGAAGCGGCGCCCGCAGGTGAGGGAGGCGATCACGTTGCTCACGGCTTTGTCCAAGAGACCGTTGGGGCGAAAGGGGCGTCCTGGGGGTGGGAGATGCGGGTAAGGGGTCGCCTTCCCCGTCCCCCGCCTTCCCAGTTCCCGCTTTGTGCCCTTCTGCCCATCACCCACCGGAGTGGTTGGCGAAGGCGGCACAAAGGCAGGCGGCCTCCTCGGTCACCCACTGCTCCAGCGACTTCTTGCCCAGGCCCAAGTTGCGCAAGGTGGAGACGGAGAAGCGCCTCTGCTCGCGCCACGCGGGCCCATAGCGCGCCAGGAACACCCCTGGGGGTGGGACGGGCACGTGCGCGTGGCCATGAAGGCATTAGCCCCACCATCCACCACCCACTCCAACCCTATGCTCCCCCTGGTCTCCCGCAGTCCCTGGCTCTGTCCAGCTGGTCACAGGGCCCACTCTTTGTGCATCCACCTTGCTCCCTTGGCTGGGGCAGGGCTTTGCCCCACCTCGTCTCTGCCCACCCTGACCGCCTTTGCACTCAGGGAAGACCCCGCGGGCCCCGCGCCACCCACACTGAGCTTACAGCACAGGTGCGGTCCCCGCCCCCCACTTCGACACCGGATTCCAGCTGGGAAATGCGCCAGCCTCACCCATTGGGCTCCTGCCAGGTCTCGGCAGTGGCCCCGCCCACTCGTCACAAGCCCCGCCCTCGTCCCCATGCTCACACCTCCCTAGTGCAGGTGGTTTCTTGGCCCGCTGTCCCCACTCGCTGGCCTGTTTCATGTCCACGACCCCGCGCCCTCTCTGCCCAGCTCGGACTACGGTCATCACCCACCCGGGTCCCACGGAAATCTGTCTCTGTCCCCACCGCTGCTTGCCTTGGGAACGCGGCCCAAAACCCAGGATCTGGGTGATGGGCACAGGCGGGCGGTCGGCGGTGTCCTCGCCGTGGGTCACCAGCGCCTCGCGCACGGCCGCCAGCCCATTGAGCACGACCACCGGCGTCCAGGCCAGCTGCAGGCTGAACACGTCCCCGAAGCGGCGCCGCAACTGCAGAGGGAGGGTCAGGGCCTCTTGTCAAGCCAGGATCCCCCCAGACTACAGGTCCTAGTCCTATTTGAACCTTGGACGACCCCCGGGGCTACCAGGAGTGAGCAGGTGGAAGGAGGAGACCCAGCCTCCTGATCGTGGGGCGGGGGTGGGGGTCACACCTTCTGTGATGGAGGAACTCAGTTTGGATGCGTCACCCAGGTATGACCTTGCAAGAGTCACCAAAATTGCCGAGAGGCCCCAGTTAGCATCCCATTCCCAGATGATGGTCCATGCCGGTGAGCAGTGAGGCCCGAGGACCCACAGTGCAAAAGGTTTGAACCGGGTCACTGCACCCCCTTCATCCTCGATTTCGTGATTTAAACGGCACTCAGGACTAACTCATCTTCCATTCCCAAGGCCTTTCCTTCTGGTGTCAGCAGAAGGGACTTTGTACTCCATAACATATGTTGCCCAATGGGCTTGCATGCCCACTGCCAAGTCCAGCTCCACCTCCAGGCCCTTGCCCTACTCTTCCTTGGCCTTTGGAAAATCCAGTCCTTCATGCCATGTATAAATGCCCTTCTCCAGGAAGTCCCCCAAACCTGCTTCCCCTTCTCAGCCTGGCTTCTGGTCCAGCCTGTGGTTTCACCCACCATCCATGTTTGCTTCTGGTAGGGGAGCCTCAGCACCTCTGCCGCCCTCCAGGACCTCCTCCCTCACCTGGTCGAAGCAGTATGGTGTGTTCTGGAAGTCCACATGCAGCAGGTTGCCCAGCCCGGGCAGTGGCAGGGGGCCTGGTGAGTAGCGTGCAGCCCAGCGTTGGCGCCGGTGCATCAGGTCCACCAGGAGCAGGAAGATGGCCACTATCACGGCCAGGGGCACCAGTGCTTCTAGCCCCATACCTGCCTCACTACCAAATGGGCTCCTCTGGACACACCTGGCACCCCCACCCCACCAGGCACAGAGGACCAGGCAGGACACTCTCAGCACACCGAGCGCGTGACCCTTCCCTTATAAAGGGAGCTGATGATGGCCTTTGCCCTCTGCTGTGAGTGAACCTGCTGTGTTGACTGTGCTGCCAGTGGCAGAGTCAGGCCAGGGCGGGTATGGGCTGCTCCAGAGGTTCTTGCCCCTGCTTCCTGCTCCAGGCCCTTACCCAGGGTAGGCCGGTGGAGGGGCCTGGTCGGAGAAGTCACCCCCTCTCCCCACTCCAAGCTCCTGAAGCCTGCAAAGCCTTCTGGGATAACCAGGGTTTCAGTGGACCCGGCCATCCACCTCCCAGCTAGGCTCATACACCCTAATGTAGTCACAACCCCTCCTCCAGAACATGGCCTTGCCCTTTCCCTACCCCCACCTGCCCACTCCAGAGTGACCTTCAGCACCCTTATCTGTCACTGGCACTTACCTGGGGCCTTAGAGCTCCTGATGATGAGTGGCATCATGGGCCTGGTCCCTTCACTTCACCTTGCACTCTTGACATGCACAGACGCTATGCACACACCTGATGGTGCACAGATCTCTTGTCCACTCCCAGACACTTGTCCACTTGTTCACACTTGCAGGGACACGATTACACACGCAGAAAATCACCCACACAAAGACAATATTCACACATACACAGACTCACACTGACACTTAGGGCACACATTCTCTCTCACACACACCAGTCACACACACATACAGACCCGGCACCAAGTACCCCACTTCCCAGCCATGCCGGAGGTTTCCTGGATGGGACCACTCCTGTCCAGAGGCTGCTCCCAGCCCAGCCCACATTCCTGGGCTCTGGCCGGGCTATGGCTTCTTGTTTGCAACAGGGCTGTTCCCAGAGCTCCCAGTTGGTAGCCGGAAGGCCCTTGCCCCAGCCTGTGACAACATCCTCCCGGGCTGCCTGAGGGTTGTCCTCCTCCACTGCTTTCTGGCCTCCATGTTTCTGATTAGAAATCTGGTGGGAACGTTATGGAGGATCCTTTGTTCAGGATATGTTGCTTTATTTTTTTTTTCTTTAGACAGGGTCTCACTCTGTTGCCCAGGCCGGAGTGCAGTGGCAGGATCATGGCTCACTGCAGTCTCGACATCAAGTGGACCCCCTGCCTCCCAAGTAGCTGGGACTACAGGCACCACCCAGCCTAATCCTTTTTTTTTTTTTTTTTTTTTTTTGGAGACGGAGATTTCCTCTTGTTGCCCAGGCTGGTGGCTCCCCTCCATTGTGCAATGATGCAATCTCGGCTCACTACAACCTTCACCTCTAGGCTTCAAGCAATTCTCCTGCCTCAGCCTCCTAAGTAGCTGGGATTACAGGTGTGTGCCACCACGTCTAGCTTTTTATATTTTCAGTAGAGATAGGGTTTCACCATGTTGGCCAGGCTAGTCTTGAACTCCTGACTTCAGGTGATCCACCCACCTCAGGCTCCCAAAGTGCTGGGATTATAGGCATGAGCCACCGCACCCAATCCCAGCTAATTTTGTATTTTTTGTAGAGACCGGGTTCTTCCAAGTTGTCCAGGCTGGTCTTGAATTCCTGGGGTGAAGCGATCCTCCCACCTGGGCCTCCCAAAGTGCTGGGATTACAGGCCTGAGCCACTGTGACTACCTGATACGTCTCTTCTCTCTTGCTGCTTTCAAAATCCTGTCTTTTGTGGGAGGGCAGCTGCCGAGCTCTGGACTTCTACGGGATCATCCACTGAGGACAGGAGGACCGGGCCCTCTACAGGTGGATTGTATGGCAGCTGCCATGCTTGGAGCCAGTGCTCACCGAGCACGTGGCGGCTGTGGAGCTGGACGCGGGGTTGATAAGTCCGCTGGGGGTGACGGGCTCATCCATGAGTGGTACTTGATGTGGCTGCAGAAGGCGGATGTGGTGGTGGCAGAAGTGACACAACTGTCCCTGGGTATAGGCTATGATCTGTGCCAGGCCACAGCCCTCAATAAGTGAATCCTGTGCCTGCTCCAGCAGCAGTCCGGTGGAGTGCTGTCGGCCATGATCTGGGAAGAGGCAGATGGCTCTGGGTTCCAGGTGTGGGACTACGGAGAGGGACAGGTGGAGGCCCTGCTGCATGGATAGGTTGAGGCTGATCCTTCCGAGCAGGTTGCCTCCCCTAACCCAACCATTGGACCTAATCCCATTTTATTAAATTCTTCTCATCCCAGACACTGCTCTAGTACCAGTCCTGGCTCTTTGCCCCAGGAGCAAATTAAAAGGTACATTTAAAATTCTAAAAAAAGAAAAATCTGTCTTTTGACAGTGATTATGATGATGCGTATGGCTGAAGATCTCTTTGAGTTTACCCTACTTGGAGTTTGATGAGCTTTTTGGATGTACGGATTAATATTTTTCATCAGATTTGGGAGGTTTTTCAGCCATTAATTCTTCAACTATTCCTTTACTCCTTTCTCCCTGTCTTCTTTCCTGGGACTCCCATTGTGTGTATGTCGGAAAGCTTGACGGCGTCTCCAGGTCTCTGGATCTCTGTGCATTGCTCTTCATGCTTGTTCCTGTTCCTCAGAGGGGACTACCTCAGGTGGCCTCTCTCCATAGTCACAGGCTCTTTCTTCCAATTGTTCCAATCTGCTCTTGGGCCCCTGGGATGAATTTTCATTTATTTTACCCTACAACTCCAGAATTTTTATTTGGTTCCTTTTTAAACTTTTTTTTTGTTTTTTGTTTTGTTTTGTTTTTTGGAGTATCGCTCTGTCACCCAGGCTGTAGTGCAGTGGTGCAATCTCGGCTCACTGCAATCTCTGCCTCTCGGGTTCAAGCGATTCTCCTGCCTCAGCCTCCCGAGTAGCTGGGATTACAGGCACGTGCCACCACGCCCGGCTAATTTTTGTATTTTAAGTAGAGACGGGGTTTCACCATGTTGGCCAGGCTGGTCTCAATCTCTTGACCTCATGATATGCCCGCCTCAGCCTCCCAAAGTGCTGGGATTATAGGCATGAGCCACCATGCCCAGCCCCTTTTTATAAGGTTCATCCCATTATTGATATTCTCTAATTGGTGAGACATTGTTCCCACACTTTCGTTAGTTCTTTTGACATGGTTCTTTTCTTTTTCTTGGGAGAGGGTCTCTCTGTCGCCCAAGCTGGAGTGCAGTGATGCAGTCATGGCTCACTGCAGCCTCAACTTCCTGGGCTGAAGTGATCCTCCTACCTCAGCATCCTGAGAGGCTGGGACCATAGGCAGCCAGCTAATTTTTTAAATTTTTTGTAGAGATGGGGGTCTCACCACATTTCCCAAGCTGCTCTCAAACTCCTGGGCTCAAGCAATCCACGGGCCTCAGCTTCCCAGAGTGCTAGGATTATAGGTGTGAGCCACTGCACCAGGCCTACACGTGGTTTCTCCCTTTGAAGTACTAGCCAGGCCTGACCATGCTTAGCTTCCGAGATCAGCAGGTTCCAGCCGGTGCAGCCTCAGATGCAGCATGTTTTAGGTCTTTGAACATATTTAAATGAGCTGACTGAACGTCTTTGTCTAGCAATTGCAGCATCGGGCTGGTCCCATTGGTGACTTTTCCCGTGTCTGGGTCGTCCTTTCGGTTTCCTTTCCATGTCTCATAATTTGTTAAAACCTGGACATTTCACGGGCGATAATGTGGCAACTCCGGAAGTCAGATTCTCTTCCCTGCCAAGGATGTGTTGTTGTTGTTGCCTGTTGGAGCTGTTTCTTTGCTGGGTGACTTTTCTGAACTAATTCTGACTAAGCATTAATGTCTCCATTCCCTGCGAGCTGTGGCCACTGAAGCCGCTCTTCAGTTACGGCAGTGGTCAGCTAATGACTGGTCAGAGAGTTCCTTAGGTGCCTGGAAGCGAAGTCTTTGCCGAGTGGGTCTCTCTCTGTGTGCCGGGCGTGGCTTCAGTGCTCGGCTAGGCAGTGCTCAACTTTCCCTTAGCCGTCACCTGCTGTCTGCACAGCACCTCAGGTCAGTCACGGGTGAGGGCTCAGGGCCTTGCCGGCCTTCCTGAATATGGGCACAGCTGCAGACAGCCTTACCCACGTGCAGGGCACCTAGATTCCCAAGAAGGGGCAAGAGCTGTTCAAAACCACTACAAGCTGGACATGGTGGCTCACACCTGTAGTGTCAGTGACTCAGAAGGCTGTAATGGGAGGATGACTTGAGGCCAGGAGTTTGAGACCTAGCAAGACCCCATCCCCCACCCAAAAAAACAAAAACAACAAAAACTCACTGTGGACCGCTCATGCCCCAGCTGCTGCTTTTTAACCCCAGCTGTTATCCATCACCACAGGCAGCTTCGATTTTCAATCATGGATCTGATGACTTTCAACAAACTTTCCTGAGGAAAGTGCTGTTCTCACCAGAAGAGATCTCAGGACAAATGTAGACAGCCCTGGCAAGTGGGGTCTCCCTGGGAGCTAGCAGACAGGTGAAAGACTGACAGTTCTTGGGGAATTAGGCTTTTCTTTTGTTTTGGAGATGGCGTTTCATACTTATCACCCAGACTGGAGTGCAATGGTGTGATCTCGGCTCACTGCAACCTCTGCCTCCCAGGTTCAAGCAATTCTCCTGCCTCAGCCTCCTGAGTAGCTGGGATTACAGGCACCCACCACCACGCCCAGCTAATTTTTTGTATTTTTAGTAGAGACGGGGTTTCACCATGTTGGCCAGGCTGGTCTCGAACATCTGACCTCAGGTGATCCACCCATCTCGGCCTCCCAAAGTGCTGGGATTACAGGCGTGAGCCACCCTGCCCAGCCCAATTATAGATTTTTTAGGTTTAGGTGTTGACAGTAGCTCTCACCTCAGCCTGTTCTCTCTCCTTGTCATGCAGCCCACAGGGGAGATGGTCAGGCCAGTGTGGGGGCTAATGAATAAATGCTACACTGTGCCCACTCAGGTGGGTAAGGGCTGGCACTCCTCTTCCCCTGGAGTGGGGCGGCTGTGCTGGCACCCTTGGCAGACACAGTAAGGGGGACTGCACCTGGAAAGGATGGGCCAGTCGGGGCAGGACTACTCATCACTCATAGTGTGGGTGTCAGGGTTGTGTCACCCCTCCCACCTCCCTCTGCAGAGACGCAAAGTCAAGAGTAGGAAGAAGCCAACCTCTGAGGTAAGGCTTCCCCTGGAAGGCCCAGGGCTGGGGCTCTCTCCTTTCAGAGCTCAGTTAGACCCAGACACACGGCAGGGAGTCCCAAGGGTAGTGGCAGGCCCCCTCCAGGAAACTCACAAGGTTACCACAGCTCAACTGAAAAGGAAGAACTTCCCAGGACTGTGACACCCCAGTGTGAGAACAGGAGGATGAGGTGCTCTGAAGGCCTTTCTGCCCAGTCTGCCCTCTTATTCCTCCTGCAGGTCACGACCCCCAGGAGACCTGGAGGACTGAATGCTGCTGCCCCCAAGGAGGAGGCTGCCGTCTTATCCCAGGAGGGAGAGCAGGTGAAGTCCCCAGGGGAGGAAGCACCTAGCCCCATTCCTGCTGAGCAGGAGGTGGCAGGTACCCCAGACTGGGAGGTAAGGACAGCCCGGGGCTTCGACTGAACGTCTCCAGCGTGGGTCCAACTGAGCAGCCATGGAGCACTGCAGAGTGGGAGGCAGCAGGGCAGGGAGGCAGTGCTGGAGGCTGGCTCAACCCCAAGACCAGCAGGCCAAGCTGCCATCCCAGGGGAGCGAGGACGTCTGTGCAGAGCTGAGAGGCAGCAGCCATGTGTGAACAGACTGGGCCTCATCCTGGCCCCACCGACTTTGTGTGGACAGAGCCTGTTTCCCTGTCTGTGCAACACAGAACCTGCCTGATCTCACTGCTGGATCCCTCTTCTTCCTGCCAGGAAAATAAAAAGGTTCAAAAGGAAGTTGCTGCGTATCCATCTGGTAAGACCACTGACCCAGCGTGCTGCAGGGGGCTGCTTCCACCCTGCTTCTCAGTGACTGCCAGGGTCACAGACACCCCAGCCCTTTCCCACCTTCCTGACCTGGGGAGGGGAGGGGAGGGAAGCAGCCCAGGAGTCAGGTGCCTTGACCTTCCTGGGAGCCTCCTTGGGTGGGCAGGAACTCTGGGCCACTCCCCTGAGCTGGCTGCATCCCTACCTTTCACCACAGCTGACCTGGCCCCGGGGCATCTCAGAGGGAGGGTTGGTTGCTCCCAGGAGGGGACTCACAAGGCTGCCTGTTTCTACTTTGCAGAGGCCTCTGAGGACAGCAAAGAGCAAAGGCCCTGGGACCGGGTCTACGTGCCCATGACAGAGCTCTGGCTGGACTGGTTCTGAGCCTCTAACACCCCCAAGACTCAGAACCGTGAAGAAAATCTTTCCAATAAATCCAAGAGTTGCTGCTGCTATAGGCCAGGCTGCCACCTTTCGGGGCCTCCGTCTTCAGACAAACCCAGCCTGGCTTCATCCACACTCCCTGTCCCCACAGCTGCAGGAACAGCACTTCCTGCCACCGAGCCGTGTGACCACAGTGGATTGTCTCTGGAGGGGCCCAAGGGGGCCCTGGCCACCCTTCTGACTGACTCGGTGCCAGGGGACAGACCAACGTCCCTCTCGTGCTGACAGCCGGGCCGCACCCTGGCATGAGGGCATTTACAGAAATGCTGGCGGAACTGCTGCCAGGGAGGCTGTAGGGTCCTCTGGCAAAAGAGGCCTCAGGTGGCTCCTCAGAGTGTCTGTGGTTCTCTGTCCCAGGCTGTTCCCTAAGAAGGTCTGCCCAGGACTCAGGTAATCATATGCTCATTAGAAACTCTTGGGCACTGCCTGTGTGCCCAGCCCAGCCCATTATGTCGGTGAGGACAGACGTGGAGGACAGCAGTCCCTGCCCTTGGTTGGGGCTCCAGGCCAGCAAGGGCCACAGCCCCAGAAGGCAGAGCAGGAAGACAGGACTCGGGGCAGGTGAAGCAGCCTTCTCGTTGGCAGAAGGGAAACAGAAGCCCGGGGTGGGGAAGGGTGGGGAAGGGTGGGGAAGGGTGGGCCCGGGGTCACACGGGGTAATGGCAGAGCAAGGACTAGGGTCAGGGTCTCTGGCTCTCAGCTGCCCATGCCACCTCCTCCTTCTCTGCCCGCCCCAGTGCCTTATGGGTCCAAGGTTGACTCCTGTCCCTAGGGCAGGCCTGTGGGCCCTGCCTGATCCCTACTGGGAGGATGGTACCTAGGGTTGGAGCCAAACAAGTGTCCTCCTCCAGCGCCAGCCTGGCCCTGAGTGCGAACTCGTCACTGGTCAGGGGTCCAGACAGCAGCATCCCTGAGGGCCCAGAGAGGTGGCCAGTCCTGTGGTGAGGTTGAGAGGTGTCAACGTGCTGGTGGTCCTCGCTCGCTCTCAGCGCCTCCTCGGCCTCAGCTTCTGCTCTGACCACACTTGAGGAGCCCTTCAGCCCAGCGCTGCACTGTGGGAGCCCCTCTCTGGACTGGTGGAGGCTGGAGCCGGCTCCGTCTGCTTGCGGGGAGGTATGGAGGGAGAGGCGTGTGCGGGAACCTGGGTTGCTCGCGGGCCAGCACCAGTTCTGGGTGGGCAGGGGCTCAGCGGGCCCTGCACTCGGAGCGGCCGGCTGGTGCCTCTGGCCCCAGGCAGTGAGGGGCTTAGCACCTGGGCCAGCAGCTGCAGAGGGGGCACCGGGTCCCCCAGTACTGCTGGCCTGCCGGCGCTCACCACACTTGAATTGTCGCCAGGCCTCAGTCACCTCCCCGCGGGGCAGGGCTCAGGACTTGCAGCCTGCCATGCCCAAGCCTCCCTACGGTGGGCTCCCTGCGAGGCCCGAGCCTCCCGGATGGGTGCCTCCCACTGCTCCACGGCACCTGGTCCCGTCCACTGCCCAAGGGCTGAGGAGTACAGGTGCCCGGTGTGGGACTAGCAGGCAGCTCTGCCTGTGGCCCTGGCATAGGATCCACTAGGCGAAGCTGGCTGGGCTCCTGAGTCAGGTGGGGACTTGGAGAACTTTTATGTCTAGCCAGAGGATTGTATATGCACCAATCAGCACTCTGTGTCTAGCTCCGGGTTCGTGCATGCACCAATTAGCACTCTATCTAGCTAATCTGGTGGGGACTTGGGGAACCTTTATTTCTAGCTAAAAGATTGTAAATACACCAATCAGCACTCTGTGTCTAGCTCAAGGTTTGTAAACACACCAGTCAGCACCCTGTGTCTAACTCAAGGTTTGTAAACGCACCAATCAGTGCTCTCTGTCTACTCTATCTAGCTAATCTAGTGGGGACTGGGACAACCTTTATGTCTAGCTAAGGGATTGTAAATACACCATTCAGCACTCTGTGTCTAGCTCAAGGTTTGTAAATATACCAATCAGTACTCTGTGTCTAGCTCAGGGATTGTAAATGCACCAATCAGCTCTCTGTAAGTGGACCAATCCACTGTCTGTAAAATGGGCCAATCAGCAGGATGTGGGTGGGGGTCAGATAAGGGAATAAAAGCAGGCTGCCTGAAGTAGCAGCGGCAACCTGGTTGCCATCATTCTTTTGCTGTTTGCAGTAAGTCTTGCTGCTGCTGCTCCCTCATTGGGTCCACACTGCCTTTATGAGTTGTAACACTGGAAGGACTGCAGTTTCACTCCTGAGGCCAGTGAGACCACAAACCCACCAGGAAGAATGAACAACTCCGTACGTGCAGCCTTAAGAGCCGTAACACTCACTGTGAAGGTCTGCAGCTTCACTCCTGAAGCCAGCAAGACCACGCACCCACCAGAAGGAAGAAACTCTGAACACGTCTTAACATCAGAAGGAACAAACTCTGAACACACCATCTTTAAGAACTGTAACACTCACCGTGAGGGTCCACGGCTTCATTCTTGAAGTCAGTGAGACCAAGAACCCACCAATTTTGGACACAAGGTGACAGGCTGAGGGCGGTGGCTCGGTCCTGGGTTTTCCTGGGGCCTTCCCAGGGAATGTTCTGGCACCTGCCGACTGAGCCCTGGGAGGTAGCCCTGGCATATAGCTCCCTGACATGATTTGTCTTCCATTTTGGGGTGTCATATATGAAGGGAGGTGACTGTTGTGATGGTGCTGGCAGGACTGCTGTCCCTGATGTGGGGTGGGCTGAGTTAGGCCTGAAATATGGGCCTCCAGGCTGAGTCCTGCCCTCTCCACCACATCCAGGGCTGACTGACACCTCTAGTCAGCCCATTCTGGCCCCTTCCCCACATGCCAGGACAATGTAGTCCTTGTCACCAATCTGGGCAGTCAGAGTTGGGTCAGTGGGGGACATGGGATTATGGGCAAGGGTAACTGACATCTGCTCAGCCTCAACGTACCCGTCTCAAATGCGGCCAGGCGGTGGGGTAAGCAGGAATGAGGCAGGGGTGGGGTTGCCCTGAGGAGGATGATCCCAACGAGGGCGTGAGCAGGGGACCCAAGTTGGAACTACCACATTGCTTTATTGTACATTAGAGCCTCTGGCTAGGGAGCAGGCTGGGGACTAGGTACCCCATTCTAGCGGGGCACAGCACAAAGCTCGTAGGGGGATGGGGTCACCAGAAAGCTGACGACACGAGAGTGGCTGGGCCGGGGCTGTCCGGCGGCCACGGAGAAGCTGAAGTGCTGCAGCAGGGAGGTGAAGAAGAGGAAGAGCTCCATGCGGGCCAGGGGCTCCCCGAGGCATGCACGGCGGCCTGTGGGGAGGGGAGGGGCGTCAGTGAGCCTGGCTCCTGGGTGATACCCCTGCAAGACTCCACGGAAGGGGACAGGGAGCCGGGCTCCCCACAGGCACCTGCTGAGAAAGGCAGGAAGGCCTCCGGCTTCACAAAGTGGCCCTGGGCATCCAGGAAGTGTTCGGGGTGGAAGCGGAAGGGCTTCTTCCAGACGGCCTCATCCTTCAGCACCGATGACAGGTTGGTGATGAGTGTCGTTCCCTGGGCAGGAGATGCAGGGTGAGAGTGGGGACTGGACTCTAGGATGCTGGGACCCCTGCCACCAAACACACGGGGGACACACACTGCCTGGCACACAGCTGGACTCTGTCAACTAGTCCTGCGCCCGAGAAGCTCCACAGTACCCTCTCCGACCCCACAGCAGGGCGCAGTCACACCTCTCAGAGGCACCCACACTGCCCCCTCTCCCTGCAGGCGCTGGGTCCTCCAACATTCTGGCAGGTCCTGATTTGTCTTCCCCACTAGACGGGGGCTCTGGATGGACAGGCCAGCCCTGCCTATACTCTGGACCCCCCATCCAAGTGGGGACAGTCAGTGTGGTGGCATTGAGGACTAGGTGGCCAGGGTTCCTAGAGTGGGCCCACCTGGCAGTAGCCATGCTGGGGCTATCACCAGGGGCTGGTGCTGAGCTGGGGTGAGGAGGGCGCCAGGCCTACCTTAGGGATGCGGAAGCCCTGTACTTCGATGTCACGGGATGTCATATGGGTCACACCCAGGGGGACGATGTCCCCAAAGCGCTGCACCTCATGAATCACGGCAGTGGTGTAGGGCATGTGAGCCTGGTCACCCATCTCTGGTCGCCGCACCTGCCCTATCACGTCGTCGATCTCCTGTTGGACACGGACTGGACAGACATGCGTCCCCACAATGGGTCAGCACCCAGGGGACACTCTCCTTCCTCCTGTGTTGGAGGAAGTTAGGCTTACAGGAGCCTGGCCACGCCTGTGCTGGAAGCCCCGGGTGTCCCAGCTAAGCCCAGGGGCCCCCAGCTGTACCCTTCCTCCCTCAGTCCCTGCCTTGGGCCCCAGCTGGGCTCACGCTGCACATCCAGGTGTAGGATCATGAGCAGGAGGCCCCAGGCCAGCGTGGTCGAGGTGGTCACCATCCCGGCAAGGAACAGGTTACCCACCACTATGCGCAGGTTCTCATCATTGAAGCTGCTCTCAGGGCTCCCCTTGGCCTGAGCAGGGCCGAGAGGATACTCAGGGGATAGAACGGGGTAGCCCCCAAATGACCTCCAATTCTGCACCTGTCAGCCCAGATGCGGCTCGCCGGGTGATGCACTGGTCCAACCTTTTGCCCAGCCTCCCCTCATTCCTCCTGGGACGTTCAACCCACCACCCTTGCCCCCCACCGTGGCAGCCACTCTCACCTTCTCCTTCTTTGCCAGGAAGGCCTCAGTCAGGTCTCGGGGTGGCTGGGCTGGGTCCCAGGTCATCCTGTGCTCAGTTAGCAGCTCATCCAGCTGGGTCAGGAAAGCCTTTTGGAAGCGTAGGACCTTGCCAGCCAGCGCTGGGATGTGCGGGAGGACGGGGACAGCATTCAGCACCTACACCAGACAGAACGGGGTCTCAATCCCTCCTGTGCTCTGCGTTCACCTGGACCAGTCTCAGGCCCCAGCCATCTCCAGGAAGACCCAGGGCCTGCCTGTCCTTACCACTGACCTCACCAAGTCCCTCCCCAAGTGCCAGCCTCCACCCTCTCTCTCCTTGCCCAGAGGAGAAACCTAAAATCGAAATCTCCAACGTGGACGGGGGTACAGAGTCCTTGGCCTCTCCTGGTGCCCCCTGACCCGGGCACACCTCTCCCACGACCATGTCTGAGATGTCCCCTCCTCCTCCAGGCCCTTCTTACAGTGGGGTCTCCTGGAATGTCCTTTCCCAAACCCATCTATGCAAATCCTGCCCTTCGGAGGCCCCAGTCCAGCCCCGGCACCTCTCAGGAGCTCGCCCTGCAGAGACTCCTCGGTCTCTCGCTCCGCACCTCGCGCAGGAAGCCCGACTCCTCCTTCAGTCCCTCCTGAGCTAGGTCCAGCAGCCTGAGGAAGCGAGGGTCGTCGTACTCGAAGCGGCGCCCGCAGGTGAGGGAGGCGATCACGTTGCTCACGGCTTTGTCCAAGAGGCCGTTGGGGCGAAAGGGGCGTCCTGGGGGTGGGAGATGCGGGTAAGGGGTTGCCTTCTCCGTCCCCCGCCTTCCCAGTTCCCGCTTTGTGCCCTTCTGCCCATCACCCACCGGCTTGGTCGGCGAAGGCGGCACAAAGGCAGGCGGCCTCCTCGGTCACCCACTGCTCCAGCGACTTCTTGCCCAGGCCCAAGTTGCGCAAGGTGGACACGGAGAAGCGCCTCTGCTCGCGCCACGCGGGCCCATAGCGCGACAGGATCACCCCTGGGGGCGGGACGGGCACGTGGGCGTTGCCATGAAGGCCTTGGCCCCACCCTCCGCCACCCACTCCAACCCTGGCGCTCCACAAGGTCTCCCGCAGTCCCTAGCCCGGTCCAGCTGGGCACAGGGCCCACTCTTTGCTCACCCACATTGCTCCCCTGCCTGGGGCGGGGTTTGGCCCCACCTCGTCTCTGCCCACCCTGACCACCTTTCCACTCAAGGAAGATCCCGCCCGTCCCGCCCACACTGAGCCCGCAGCATAGGCGCGGTCCCCGCCACCGCCACTTCGACGCATCAGCCTCGCCCACCGGGCTTCTGGCGGGTCTGGGCAGTAGCCCCGCCCCCTCCCAGCCCACAGACTCGCACCTCCCCCGTGCAGGTGGTTTCCTGGCCCACTGTCCTCAGCCCACTCGCTGGCCTTTATCTCTGTTTCACGTCCAGGACCCCACGCCCTGTCGGCGCTGCTTGGGCTACGGTCACTGTCCACCCGGGGCCCACGGAAACGCGGTCTCTGTCCCCCACCGCCGCTTGCCTTGGGAACGCGGCCCGAAGCCCAGGACCTGGTAGATGGGCGCA
The DNA here is from genome assembly GCF_000001405.40 of Homo sapiens. NCBI lineage: Eukaryota > Metazoa > Chordata > Mammalia > Primates > Hominidae > Homo > Homo sapiens. The sequence continues at coordinate 64,462 of NW_014040931.1, forward strand.
GGCGGGCGGTCGGCCGTGTCCTCGCCGCGGGTCACCATCGCCTCGCGCACGGCCGCCAGCCCATTGAGCACGACCACCGGCGTCCAGGCCAGCTGCAGGCTGAACACGTCCCCGAAGCGGCGCCGCAACTGCAGAGGGAGGGTCAGGGCCTCTTGTCAAGCCAGGATCACCCCAGACTACAGGTCCTAGTCCTATTTGAACCTTGGACGACCCCCGGGGCTACCAGGAGTGAGCAGGTGGAAGGAGGAGACCCAGCCTCCTGATCGTGGGGCGGGGGTGGGGGTCACACCTTCTGTGATGGAGGAACTCAGTTTGGATGCGTCACCCAGGTATGACCTTGCAAGAGTCACCAAAATTGCCGAGAGGCCCCAGTTAGCATCCCATTCCCAGATGATGGTCCATGCCGGTGAGCAGTGAGGCCCGAGGACCCACAGTGCAAAAGGTTTGAACCGGGTCACTGCACCCCCTTCATCCTCGATTTCGTGATTTAAACGGCACTCAGGACTAACTCATCTTCCATTCCCAAGGCCTTTCCTTCTGGTGTCAGCAGAAGGGACTTTGTACTCCATAACATATGTTGCCCAATGGGCTTGCATGCCCACTGCCAAGTCCAGCTCCACCTCCAGGCCCTTGCCCTACTCTTCCTTGGCCTTTGGAAAATCCAGTCCTTCATGCCATGTATAAATGTCCTTCCCCAGGACGTCCCCCAAACCTGCTTCCCCTTCTCAGCCTGGCTTCTGATCCAGCCTGTGGTTTAACCCACCACCCATGTTTGCTGGTGGTGGGGCATCCTCAGGACCTCTGCCGCCCTCCAGGACCTCCTCCCTCACCTGGTCGAAGCAGTATGGTGTGTTCTGGAAGTCCACATGCAGCAAGGTTGCCCAGCCCGGGCAGTGGCAGGGGACCTGGCGGGTAGCGTGCAGCCCAGCGTTGGTGCCGGTGCATCAGGTCCACCAGGAGCAGGAAGATGGCCACTATCATGGCCAGGGGCACCAGTGCTTCTAGCCCCATGGCTGCCTCACTACCAACTGGGCTCCTCTGGACACACCTGGCACCCCCACCCCACCAGGCACAGAGGACCAGGCAGGACACTCTCGGCACACCGAGCGCGTGACCCTTCCCTTATAAAGGGAGCTGATGATGGCCTTCGCCCTCTGCTGTGAGTGAACCTGCTGTGTTGACTGTGCTGCCAGTGGCAGAGTCAGGCCAGGGCAGGTATGGGCTGCTCCAGAGGTCCTTGCCGCTGCTTCCTGCTCCAGGCCCTTACCCAGGGTAGGGTGGTAGAAAGGCCTGGTCGGAGAAGTCACCCCCTCTCCCCACTCCAAGCTCCCCAAGCCCACACAGGCTTCTGGGATAACCAGGGTCTCAGTGGACCCGGCCATCCACCTCCCAGCTAGGCTCATACACCCTAATGTAGTCACAACCCCTCCTCCAGAACATGACCTTGCCCTTTCCCTACCCCCACCTGCCCACTCCAGAGTGACCTTCAGCACCCTTATCTGTCACTGGCACTTACCTGGGGCCTTAGAGCTCCTGATGATGAGTGGCATCATGGGCCTGGTCCCTTCACTTCACCTTGCACTCTTGACATGCACAGACGCTATGCACACACCTGATGGTGCACAGATCTCTTGTCCACTCCCAGACACTTGTCCACTTGTTCACACTTGCAGGGACACGATTACACATGCAGAAAATCACCCACACAAAGACAATATTCACACATACACAGACTCACACTGACACTCAGGGCACACATTCTCTCTCACACACACCAGTCACACACACATACAGACCCGGCACCAAGTACCCCACTTCCCAGCCATGCCCGAGGTTTCCTGGATGGGACCTCTCCTGTCCAGAGGCTGCTCCCGGTGAGCCTCAAAGCTGTCACATGGATCCCAGCTCAGCCCACATTCTGGGCTCTGGCCGGGCCATGACTTCCTGTTTGCAACAGGGCTGTTCCCAGAGCTCCCAGTTGGTAGCCTGAAGGCCCTTGCCCCAGCCTGTGACAGCATCCTCCAGGGCTGCCTGAGGGTCGTCATTCTCCACTGCTTCCTGGCCTCCATGTTTCTGATTAGAAATCTGGTGGAAACATTATGGAGGATCCTTTATTTAGGATATGTTGCTTTTTTATTTTTATTTTTTCTTTAGACAGGGTCTCACTCTGTTGCCCGGGCCGGAGTGCAGTGGCAGGATCATGGCTCACTGCAATCTCAACATCAAGTGGACCTCCTGCCTCCCAAGTAGCTGGGACTACAGGCACCACCGAGCCCAAATAATTTTTTTTTTGAGACGGAGTTTTGCTCTGTCGCCCAGGTGGGAGTGCAATGATGCGATCTCGGCTCACTGCAACCTCCACCTCCAGGGTTCAAGCGATTCTCCTGCCTCAGCCTCCCAAGTAGCTGGGATTACAGGTGCCCACCACCATGCCTGGCTGATTTTTTGTACAAGAAGTTTATAGAACACCAAGCAGATTTAACCCAAAGAAGACGACCTCAAGGCATCTGATAATTAAACTCCGAAAGGTCAAGGATAAAGAAAGGATCCTAAAAGCAGCAAGAGAAAAGAAACAAATAACATGCAGTAGAGCTCCAATACATGACATGGGGCAGCCACCTTTCCAGTGGAAACCTTACAGGCCAGGGGGGAGTGGCATGACATATTTAAAGTGCTGAAGGAAAAAAAACTTTTAGCCTAGAATAACGTATCTGGCAAAAATATCCTTCCAACAGGAAGGAGAAATAAAGACCTTCCCAGACAAACAAAAGCTGCGAGATTTCATCAACACCAGACCTATATCCCACAAGAAATGCTAAAGGGAGTTTTTCAATCTGAAAAAAAAAAGGATATTAATGAGCAAGAAGAAATCATCTAAAGGTACAAAACTCACTGGTAATAGTAAGCACACAGAAAAACAGAGTATTATAATACTGTAATTGTGGTGTGTAAACTACTCTTATTTTAATTAGACTAAATGATGAACCAATCAAAAATAATAAGTACTTTTCAAGACAGACAGTACAGTAAGACATAAAGAGGCCGGACCCGGTGGCTCACGCAGGTAATCCCAGCACTTTGTAAGGCTGAGGTGGGTGGATCACCTGAGGGCAGGAGTTCGAGACAAGCCTGGCCAACATGGTGAAACCCCATCTCTACTAAAAATACAAAAAATTTAGCTGGGCATGGTGGTGGGCGCCTGCTACCCAGGAGGCTGAGGCAGGAGAATCGGTTGAACCTGGGAAGTGGAGGTTACAGTGAGCTGAGATCGTGCCACTGCACTCTAGCCTGGGCAACAGAGCAAGACTTTATCTCAAAAACAAAAAAAGAGAAACAACAAAAAGTTAAAAAGCACTAAGATGAACTTAAAGTGTAGAGTTTTTATTAGTCTTCCTTTTGCTTTATGTTTGTTTACACAATCAGTGTTGTCATCCGTTTAAAATAATGAGTTATAAGATAATATTTGCAAGCCTCACGGCAACCTCAAATCAAAAAGCACACAATAAGTGAGACTGTGTCTCAAAAAGAAAAGAAGAAAAAACACACAATGGATACACACACACAAAAAAGCAAGAAATTAAATCATACCACCAGAGAAAATCACCTTCATTAAAAGGAAGACAAGGAAAAAAAAAAAAAAAAAAAAAAAAAAAGAGAAGACCACAAAACAGTGAGAAAAGAAATAACAAAATAGCAGGAGTAAGTCCCTGCTTAGCAATAATAACATTGAATGTAAATGGACTAAACTCTCCAATACAAAGACACAGAGTGGCTGAATGGATGAAAAAGCAAAGCTCAATGCTCTTTTGTCTAGAAGAAACACACTTCACCTGTAAAGATACACATGGACTGAAAATAAAGGGATGGAAAAAGATACTCCATGCCAATGGAAAACAAAAAAGAGCAGGAGTAGCAATACTTAGACAGAACAGATTTTAAAACAAAAACTGTAAGAGGAGGCCGGGTGTGGTGGCTCACGCCTGTAATCCCAGCACTTTGGGAGGCCAAGACGGGCGGATCACGAGGTCAGGAGATTGAGACTATCCTGGCTAACATGGTGAAACCCCGTCTCTACTAAAAATACAAAAAATTAGCCAGGCGTGGTGGCGGGCGCCTGTAGTCCCAGCTACTCAGGAGGCTGAGGCAGGAGAATGGCGTCAACCTGGGAGGCGAAGCTTGCAGTGAGCCAAGATCGCGCCACTGCACTCCAGCCTGGGTGACAGAGCGAGACTCCGTCTCCAAAACAAAACAAACAAACAACAACAACCAAAAAAACTGTAAGAGGAGACAAAGAAGGTCATCCAGCAACAGAATATAACAATTGTAAATACATATGCACACAACACTGGAGCACGTAAAGCAAATGTTATTGGAGCCCAAGAGAGACGTTAACGCAATAACAGCTAAAGACGTCAACACCCCACATTCAGCATTGGACGGGTGTCCCAGATGGAAACCCAATAAGAAAACATTAGACTTAATCTGCACTACAAAAGAAATGGACCTACTAGATACTTACAGAACACTTCGTCTAAAGTCTGCAGAATACACATTCTTCTCCTCAGCACATGGATCATTCTCAAGGATACACCATATGTTAGGTCACAAAGCAAGTCTTAAAACATTACAAATGTTAAAATAATATCAAGCATCTTCTCTGACCACAACAGAATAAAAGTGGAAATCAACAACAAGAGGAATTCTGGAAACTATACATACACGTGAAAATTAAACAATATGGTCCGGAATGGCCAGTGGTTCAATGAAGAAATTAGGAAGGAAATTTGGCTGGGCACAGTAGCTTACACCTGTAATCCCAGCACTCTGGGGGGCTGAGGCAGTCAGATGACCTGAGATAGGGAGTTCGAAAGCAGCCTGGCCAACATGGTGAAACTCCGTCTCTACAAAAAATACAAAAATTAGCAAAGCATGGTGGCATGTGCCTGCAGTCCCAGCTACTAGGGAGGCTGAGATGGGAGGATTGCTTGAACCCAGGAAGTCAAGGCTGCAGTGAGCCCTGATGGCATCACTGCACTCCAGCCTCGGTGACAGAGCAAGACCCTGTCTCAAGAAAACACACACACACACACACACACACACACACACACAGATGCTCAAACTAATATCATTTTGCTGTTAGAGCCAAGAGGGGTGGCCTGTGTAGTAAAAAGTGGGGAAGTCATTCCTTGCACAATGCAAGCCACTGGACCAAGAGTCCAAACTGACTCTTGACAGGAGGCTGGGAGATATCTGCTAAGGCCTTGGAATGTCCTGCCTGAAATAGTGTCTTTGTACATAGCTAGGGCCTTGGACCGTACAACACAGTTTATGCCAACAATGTGATCGAGGGTGGGGCCGTCAGGCCTGTATCCATCTGACTTCAGGAGGGGCTGGAGACTGAGTAACTGAGGTCAGCCATGCTGCGGGGGCTCAAGCCTAGGATGACCAACTCCCAACAAAAACCATGGACACCAAGGCCCAGGTGAGCTTCCGTGGCTGGCAGGGCTCTCTGCTGCCTCACTTACTGTTGGGGGAGAATTAAGCACTGCCTGTAGGAGTCCACCAGAAAAGAGAGCTGCAGCCTTGGCCTGGTCATTCTGGACTCTGGTCCCTGTGCCTTTCATCTTTGCTGACTTTAATCTGTACCCTTCTCTGTAATAAACTGTTAACAGGGAGAATAACAGCTTTTCTAGGGCTGTGAGACCTTCTAGAAATCACTGAACCTGAGGGTGGTCTGGGGGAGCACAACACAGTCTCCCACCCTAGCCAGGGAATGGGTTGATTCTTGGCATATGCCTATTCATATCCACCCCAGCCAAGACTTACGCATGGACTTTGTCACCAAGCCAGGCAGCCAGTGATGGGTCTCTGGGCGTGACGTGGGGGCAGGCTGTTTCCTGCTGAGAATCACTATGCCTGTATCTCAAGTAAAGTCAGGCGTCCAGGTAAGAGTGAATGAGGTGAGGCTGGTCTCGGTGGCTCACGCCTGTAATCCCAGCACTTTGGGAGGCTGAGGCTGGTGGTCACGTGAAGTCAGGAGTTTGAAACCAGACTGGCCAACATGGCGAAACCCATCACTACTAAAAAGACAAAAATGAGCCGGGGGTGGTACCCGGTGCCTGTAATCCCAGCTACTCAGGAAGCTGAGGCACGAGAATCGCTTGAACTCTGGAGGCGGAGGTTGCAGTGAGCTGAGATTGCACCACTGCACTCCAGCCTGGGTGACAGAGTAGGCTCCATCTCAAAAAAAAAAAAAAAAAAATGAATGAATGAGGTGAGGGGTGAGGGGTGAGGGGTGAGCACTGACATCAGGCAGGTGACTGACGACCCAACACAACCAGGACCTTGGCAGGGGCCCAGACTGGATACAGAAACCAAGTGGGAGCCACTAGACTAATTTATTGTACAACAGGGTCCCAGCTGAGGAGCAACTCTAGCGGGGCACAGCACAAAGCTCATAGGGGGATGGCGTCACCAGAAAGCCGACGACACGAGAGTGGCTGGGCCGGGGCTGTCCGGTGGGCACCGAGAAGCTGAAGTGCTGCAGCAGGGAGGTGAAGAAGAGGAAGAGCTCTATGCGGGCCAGGGGCTCCCCGAGGCATGCACGGCGGCCTGTGGGGAGGGGAGGGGCGTCAGTGAGCCTGGCTCCCGGGTGATACCCCTGCAAGACTCCACGGAAGGGGACAGGGAGCCGGGCTCCCCACAGGCACCTGCTGAGAAAGGCAGGAAGGCCTCCAGCTTCACAAAGTGGCCCTGGGCATCCAGGAAGTGTTCGGGGTGGAAGCGGAAGGGCTTCTCCCAGACGGCCTCATCCTTCAGCACCGATGACAGGTTGGTGAAGAGCATCATCCCCTGGGCAGGAGATGCAGGGTGAGAGTGGGGACTGGACTCTAGGATGCTGGGACCCCCAAGCACACAGGGGACACACACTGCCTGGCACACAGCTGGACTCTGTCAACTAGTCCTGTGCCCGAGAAGCTCCAGAGCACCCTCTCCGACCCCACAGCAGGGCGCAGTCACACCTCCTGGGAGCGCCCACGCTACCCCCTCTCCCTACAGGTATTGGGGTCCTCCAACATTCTGGCAGGTCCTGGTCTGCCTTCCCCACTAGACTGGGGCTCTGGATGGACAGGCCAGCCCTGCCTATACTCTGCACCCCACACCCAGGCTGGGACAGTCGATGTGGTGGCATTGAGGACTGGGTGGCCAGGGTTCCTAGACTGGGCCCACCTGGCAGTGGCCATGCTGGGGCTATCACCAGGGGCTGGTGCTGAGCTGGGGTGAGGAGGGTGCCAGGCCTACCTTAGGGATGCGGAAGCCCTGTACTTCGATGTCACGGGATGTCATATGGGTCACACCCAGGGGGACGATGTCCCCAAAGCGCTGCACCTCGTGAATCACGGCAGTGGTGCAGGGCATGCGAGCCTGGTCACCCATCTCTGGTCACCACACCTGCCCTATCACGTTGTCGATCTGTTGGACACGGCCTGGACAGACACGCGTCCCCACAATGGGTCAGCACCCAGGGGACCAGCCCTGACACTCTCCTGCCTCCTGTGTTGGAGGAGGTTAGGCTTACAGGAACCTGGCCAAGCCTGTGCTTGGAGTCCCGGGTGTCCCAGCTAAGCTCAGGGGCCCCCACCTGTACCCTTCCTCCCTTGCCCCCTGCACTGGGCCCCAGCTGGGCTCACGCTGCACATCCGGGCGTAGGATCATGAGCAGGAGGCCCCAGGCCAGCGTGATCGAGGTGGTCACCATCCCGGCAAAGAACAGGTCAGCCACCACCATGCGCAGGTTCTCATCATTGAAGCTGCTCTCAGGGTTCCCCTTGGCCTGAGCAGGGCTGAGAGGGTACTCAGGGGACAGAACGGGAAAGCCCCCAAATGACCTCCACATTCTGCACCTGTCAGCCCAGGTGCCACTTGCCAAGTGATCCAATGGACCCACCTTTTGCCTGCCTCATTCCTCCCGGACGCTCAACCCACCACCCCTGGTCCCTACCGTGTCAGCCACTCTCACCTTCTCCTTCTCTGCCAGGAAGGCCTCAGTCAGGTCTCGGGGTGGCTAGGCTGGGTCCCAGATCATTCTGTGCTCGGTCAGCAGCTCATCCAGCTGGGTCAGGAAAGCCTTTTGGGAGCGTAGGACCTTGCCAGCCAGCCCTGGGATGCGCAGGAGGAGGGGGACAACATTCAGCATCTACAGCTGACACAGAACGGGGTCTCAATCCCTCCTGTGCTCTGCGTTCACCTGGACCAGTCTCAGGCCCCAGCTGCCTCCAGGGAAGACCCAGGGCCTACCTGTCCCCACCACTCACCTCCCCAAGTCCCTCCCCAAGTGCCAGCCTCCACCCTCTCTCCTTGCCCTGGGCTGCCAGAGGAGAAACCTAAAAATCAAAATCTCCAATGTGGACAGGAGGCACAGGGTCCTTGGCCTTTCTTGGTGCCCCCTGACCCGGGCACACCTCTCCCACGACCGTATCTGAGATGTCTCCTCCTCCTCAAGGCCCTTCCTCTAGCAGTGAGCTCTTCTGGAATGTCCTTTCCCAAACCACTCTATGCAAACCCTGCTCCTTGGAGGTCCGGCTGCAGTCCCGGCACCTCTCAGGAGCTCGCCCTGCAGAGACCCTGCGGTCCCTCGCTCCACATCTCTCACAGAAAGCCCAGCTCCTCCTTCAATCCCTTCTGAGCTAGGTCCAGTAGCCTGAGGAAGCGAGGGTCGTCGTACTCGAAGCGGCACCCGCAGGTGAGGGAGGCGATCACGTTGCTCGCCGCTTTGTTCAGGAGGCCGTTGGGGTGAAAGGGGCGTCCTGGGGGCGGGAGATGCGGGTCAGGGGTCGCCTTCCCAGTCCTCCACCTTCCCAGTTCCCGCTTTGTGCCCCTCTGCCCATCACCCACTGGCTTGGTCGGCGAAGGCGGCACAGAGGCAGGCGGCCTCCTCGGTCACCCACCGCTCCAGGGACTTCTTGCCCAGGCCCAAGTTGCGCAAGGTGGACACGGAGAAGCGCCTCTGCTCGCGCCACGCGTGTCCGTAGTGTGCCAGAAACACCCCTGGGGGCGGGACGGACACATGGGCGTGGTCATGGAGGCCTTGGCCCCGCCCTCCGCCGCCCACTCCAACCCTGTGCTTTTCCTGGTCTCCCGCAGTCCCTGGCCCTGTCCAGCTGGGCACAGGGCCTGCTCTTTGCTCACTCACCTTGCTTGGGTCTTGGCCCCACCTTGGCTCTTCCGACCCTGACTGCCTTTCCACTCAGGGAAGATCCCGCCCGTCCCGCCCCGCCCATACTGAGCCCACAGCAGAGTCCATCCCGGCTTCTAGACACCCGCTTCCAGCTGGGAAAGGCGCCAGCTCCGCCCACCCGGTTCCTGGTGGGTCTCGGCAGTTGCCCCGCCCACTCACAAGCCCCTCTTCCTCCCGCCCACAGACTCGCACCTCCCCAATGGAAGTGGTTTCCTGGCTCGCTGTCCCCAACCCACTCACTGGCCCACAACCCCGCGCCCTCTCAGCCCAGCTTGGGCTACGGTCACCGCCCACCCAGGACCCACGGAAACGCAGTCTCTGTCCCCCACCGCCGCTTGCCTTGGGAGCGCGGCCCGATGCCCAGGACCTGGTAGATGGGCGCAGGCGGGCGGTCGGCGGTGTCCTCGCCGCAGGTCACCAGAGCCTCACGCACGGCCGCCAGCCCATTGAGCACGACCACCGGCATCCAGGCCAGCTGCAGGCTGAACACGTCCCCAAAGCGGTGCCGCAGCTGTAGAGGGAGGGTCAGGGCCTCCGTTGGGTCAGGGCCTCCATCAGGCCAGGGTCCCCCCAGACTGCAGGTCCTAGTCCTATTTGAACCTTAGACGACCCTCGGGGCTACCAGGAGTGAGCAGGTGGAAGGAGGAGACCCAGCCTCCCGATCCTGGGGCGGGGATGGGGTCACACCTTCTGTGATGGAGGAACTCAGTTTGGATGCGTCACCCAGGTATGACCTTGCAAGAGTCACCAAAATTGCCGAGAGGCCCCAGTTAGCATCCCATTCCCAGATGATGGTCCATGCCGGTGAGCAGTGAGGCCCGAGGACCCACAGTGCAAAAGGTTTGAACCGGGTCCACTATATCCCTTCATCCTTGATTTCTAACTTACTCATTTATTTAGACCATGTCTGGCTCTGTCACCCAGGCTGGAGCGCAATGGCGCGATCTTGGCTCACTGCAACCTCCACCTCCCGGGTTCAAGCAATTCACCTGCCTCAGCCTCCCATGTAGCTGGGATTACAGGTGCCCACCACCGTGCCCCGCTAATTTTTGTATTTTTAGTAGAGGCAGGGTTTCACCATGTTGGCCAGGCTGGTCTCGAACTCCTGACCTTGTGATCCCCCCACCTTGGTCTCCCAAGATGCTGGGATTACAGGTGTGAGCCACCGCGCCCAGCCGTTGATTTTTTTTTTTTTTTTTTTTTTTTTTTTTTTTTTGAGACAGAGTCTCGCTCTGTCGCCCAGACTGGAGTGTAATGGTGTGTTCTCAGCTCACTTCAAGCTCTGCCTCATGGGTTCATGCCATTCTCCTGCCTCAGCCTCCCAAGTAGCTGGGACTACAGGTGCCCACCACCTCGCCTGGCTAATTGGTTTGTATCTTTAGTAGAGACGGGTTTCATTGTGTTAGCCAGGATGGTCTCGATCTCCTAACCTCATGATCCGCCCGCCTTAGCCTCCCAAAGGGCCGGGATTACAGGCGTGAGCCACCGCGCCCGGCCTGATTTCTTATTCGTTTATTTAGACATTGTCTGGCTGTGTCACCGAGGTTGCAAGGCAATGGCACAATCTCCACTCACTACAACCTCTGCCTCCTAAGTTCAAGCAATTCTCCTGCCTCAGCCTCCCAAGTAGCTGGGATTGCAGGCGTGCACCACTGTGCCCAGCTCATTTTTTGTATGTTTAGTAGAGACCGGTTTTTGCCATGTTGGCCAGACTCATCTGGAACCCCTGACCTCAGGTGATCCGCCCACCTTGGCTTCCTTAAGTGCTGGGATTATAGGCGTGAGCCACCACGCACAGCCTGATTTCCTGATTTAAACGGCACACAGGACCCTGACTCGTCTTCCATTCCCAAGGCCTTTCCTTCTGGTGTCAGCAGAGGGGACTTTGTGCTCCTAACATATGCTGCCCAATGGGCTTGCACGCCCACTGCCAAGTCCAGCTCCACCTCCAGGCCCTTGCCCTACTCTTCCTTGGCCTTTGGAAAATCCCATCTTTCATGCCATGCATAAATGCCCTCCCCCAGGAAGTCCCTCAAATCTGCTTCCCCTTCTCAGCCTGGCTTCTTGTCCAGACTGTGGCTCCACCCACCACCCATGTTTGCTGGTGGTGGGGGATCCTCAGGACCTCCTCCCTCACCTGGTTGAAGGTGTATATGTTCTGGAAGTCCACATGCAGCAAGTTGCCCAGCCCGGGCAGTGGCAGGGGGCCTGGCGGGTAGCGTGCAGTCCAGCGTTGGTGCTGCTGCATCAGGTCCACCAGGAGCAGGAAGATGGCCACTGTCACTGCCAGGGGCACCAGTGCATCCAGCCCCATGGCTGCCTCACTGCCCATTGGGCTCCTCTGGACACACCTGGCACCTCCACCCCACCAGGCACAGAGGACCAGGCAGGACACTCTCAGCACACCCAGTGCATGACCGTTCCCTTATAAAGGGAGCTGATGATGGCCTTTGCCTTCTGCTGTGAGCCAACCTGCTGTGTTGACTGTGCTGCCAGTGGGTGCAGGGTCAGGCCAGGGCGGGTATGGGCTGCTGCAGAGGTCCTTGCCCCTGCTCGCTCTAGTTGCCTACCCAGATTAGGGTGGTGGGCGAGAGGTGGCCTGGCATGGGAGCTCCACCCAAGTTGCAGGTATGGATTGTACTGGGTGCTGGGCTGTGTACTGGGAGCATGGTGGTAAGGCTGTGAGTCAATGCCCCAACGTAATGATGACCACGGGGAGTAGGAAGGTAACATAGCTGACATGACAAGCCAGCAGTGCCATGAGGGTCCATGGGGACGTTGTCCCAGGCTGGAACAGGACTTTCTGGGAAGGATTCATGGAGAACTTTGTCTAGCTGACTGAGGGGCTGCCTAGCACTGTAGGCCACGGCACTGGCAGTGGGACCAACCCACCCCTGGAATTTCCTGTGCAGGTGGCCTGAGGGGCAGCAGGAGGCCAGCAGCTGGAGCCTGGGTCTTTTCAGGTCTGGATGAAGACTGGATCTGGGGAACAAAAGGCAGGGAGAACAGTTTATTTAAAATTTAAAAATATATATATATTTTTTAGAGACAAGATCTTGCTCTGTTGCCCAGGCTGGAGTGCAGAGCTGTGATCATAGCTCACTCAAACTCCTGTGCTCAATCAAGAGATCCTATTTTAGCGTCCCGAGTAGCTGGAACTACAGGTGCACATCATTACGCTCGGCTAATTTTTTTGTTGAGATGGGTCCTCACTATGTTGCCCACGCTGGTCTGGAACTCCTGGCTTCAAGTGATCCTCCTGCCTTGGCCTCCCAAAGTGTTGGAAATAGAGGCATGAGCCACCTGGCCCAACAGAAGTTTTGAAGCTACTCAACTGACAGAGAGAGCAAGACCCATGCCTATCTGGGGACTTCTCAGATCTGGCTTGTGGTCTCCCAAACTGGCCTCAGCTGAATGAATGTTCCTGTCCTACATGGCAGCACTGTTCTATTTGGGACTGTGAGAGAATCAAGGTGCAGGGACAGCAGGATGGTCTGGGTGCTTGTTACATGGTGGCCCTTTATACATTACCTGTATGCACTCTTGGCCTTTTGAGGTGTCAGGCCCTCCCCAAGCAGTCATCATGAATCATGATGGGGGTGTGAAGGGCAGGGACAGGCATGCCTGCAATGTGGGCAGTGTCCTCCCGAGTGCCCTCCTTACCAGCCAGAGGCCTGTAATTCAAGATATGGCAGCATGAGGAAAACATTTAATAACAATGCCTGTGGCCTTTTCCAATCATTGTGCACCTGTGGCTTCCATTGATCGGGCACTTATGTGCCAGAAACTGCTGGTCAGACTGTGTGCTCTAGCTCATTAATCCTCCCACAGCCCCCTAAGGAGGTGGTTTTATGGTCCCCAAGGCACAGAGACTGAGGCTCAGAGATCACATAACAAGGTTCAAGTCACACAGCGGTGTTAGGAGTCCACATCCAATGTGTATGCTGAGCTACTATTCTATACTGTTTGGACATTACATTCTATTAATGGTCAGTATAGATGTTTCTGGGATTTATTATTTTTAGGAAACAGATCCAACCTGCCTTCCCTGAACAGTGGTACTGCTGTGTCATGGTAAAAAGTGCACTGTGCCCTGGCAGGCCCTATGGACGTTGCCAAGTGAGATGGTGTGAAAATATGTCAGCAAGTGGTAGACTAGGAAACTGCGGGCTCTCGTTCTCCTAGAGAGCTCAATGTTAAAGCTATAGGAGACCAAAACATCGTGAGAATTCTAGAAACTAGTTAGGATGCTGCAATGCCAGCTAGTGCAGAGCCAGGGAGGGACTGCACTGGGAAGGGTAGTCAAGTTGGAGCATTTTGCTTGTTCTTGCCCTTCCCCCTGCCAGGCATAGCAATGCTACTGGGAGAGACCCTCCAATTCCCAGCTCCTCCCATGGGATGGGTTTCTGCTGGGTCCGACTCAAGAGTGCTGAGTGGTGGGGTCTGTCTGCCCTCAGAGCAGCACCTCTGCGTTTCCACAGCTGCAAGGGGACGGGGTTATGGGCAGTGGAATAGTTGTGTCTGGGTATCCTGGAGGGGATTGGTGCCAGGACCCCCGGTAAATACCAAAACCCAAGGATGCTCAGGTTCCTTATGTAAAATGGCATAGTATACCTATGCAAATGCTCCTGTATACTTTAAATCATCTCTAGATTATTTGTAATGCCTAATACAGTGTAAATGCTACATAAATAGTTGCTATACTGTACTGCTCTTATTTGTATTTTTAGTTGTTATACTTTCTCAAGTTATCTTTGATGTGTGGTTGAATTTGTGGATGCGGAGCCTGTGGGTATCGAGGGCTGCTTGTACCCTAGAAACAGAAATGGAAAGCTCCAGGGGCAGGGCCAGCCTGCAGGGGGGCAGTTTAATGGGTAAAGCTTCCGTTTTATAAAATGAAAAATTCTGGAGATTGGTTGCACAACAATCTGAACACATTTCCCACTAAACTGTACTGTGACTGTTATGATGGTACATTTTTTTAACCACAATTTAAAAACTTTATGAGTATTAAAAAAATAAATGGCTATATACACACCTATTAGAATGGCTTAAATCCAGAACACTGACAACACCAAATGCTGGCAAGGATGTGGAGCATCAGGAACTCATTCATTGCTGGTGGGAGTACAAAATGGTACAGACACTTTGGAAGAAAGTTTGGCAATTTCTTTTCCTTTTCTCAGTTTTTTTTTTTTTTTTTTTTTTGAGACAGAGTCTCACTCACTCTGTCACCCAGGCTAGGAGTGCAGTGGCACGATGATCTCAGCTCACTGGAACCTTTGCCTCCTGCGTTCAAGCAATCCTCCCACCTCAGCCTCCCGTTTAGCTGGGACTGCAGGCGTGAGCCACCATGCCTGGCTGATTTTTGTATTTTTAGTAGAGACAGGGTTTCACCATGTTGGCCAGGCTGGTCTCAAACTCCTGACCTCAGGTGATCCAGACAGTTTGGCAATTTCTTACAAAACTAGACATACTCTTACCATACAATCCACCAATCGTGCTTCCTGTACTTACCCAAAGGAGTTGAGGCCTTATGTCCACACAAAAACCTGCAAAGGGATGTTTACAGCAGCTTCATTTGTAATTGTCAAAACTTGAAAGCAACCAAGATGTTCTTCAGCAGTTGAATGGATAAACTGTGGTACAGCCAGACAATGGAATTATTTATCACTAAAAAGAAACAAGCTATCAAGTCATGAAAAGACACGGGTGAACCTTAAATGCACATTACTAAGTGAATGAAGCCAATCTAAAAAAGGCTACCTACTATCTAATCTCAACTATATGATACTTTGGAAAAGGCAAAACTTTGCAGACAGTAAAAGGCTCAGCGGTGAGGGACTGGGGCTAAGGAGGAATGAACAGTGGGACACGGAGGATCCCTGGAGCAGTGAAACTACTCTGGATCATGGTGCGTCCTCGTCTTTTTGAGACAGGATTTTGCTGTCACCCAGGCTGAAGTGTGGTGGCGCGATCACGACTCACTGTAGCCTCGACCTCCTGGGCTCAAGTGATCCTCCCATCTCAGCCTCCCAAGTAGCTGAGACTACAGGCATGCACCATCATGCCTGGCTAATTTTTGTATTTTTATGTAGAGATGGGGTTTCGCCATGTTGCCCAGGCTGTTCTCGAACTCAAGCGATACACCCACCTGAGCCTCCCAAAATGCTGGGATTATAGGCGAGAGCCACCACGCCCTGCCAGATCCAGGTCTTTATACATTTGTCAAAGGCCATAAAATGTACACCACCGGGAGTGGCCCCTAGTATAAACTATGGACTTTGGGTGAAAACAGTATGCCAACTCTGGTTGGGATGTTGATAGAGGGAAAGGTATGCATACGGGGGGAAGGGGTTATATGGGAACTGTCTGTACCGTCAGCTTAATCCTTCTGTGAACATAAAACTACTTTAAAAAAATCAATTAAGACAAACACTAAAGGAACTAAAAGGCACTTGAGCAGTTGAGGAGAACTGCAGAAGCCAGAAACTGGAGTCAGGAGGCATGCGTGTATCACTGCCACTCCCCAGTGAAGGTCATTACTGAAGCCAATTTAAGGAAAGACCTAGAACAATCACAAGTGCTCCACTCAGGCAAATCAAAAGGGGACAAAAGAATAAAAGACAAAATGACAAACATTTGCTGTCAGGAAAATATTTTCCTCAAGATACATATTTTTCAAGTTTTGTGGTTTAGCCCTTGACACCTGAAGTCTATCCATTTCATTTTAACTGTATTAATGCCAAGTCAAGACCAGAATGAGACAACAACTAGCTCAAAAAAGCCATCATTTCTGTGCAGGTCCTGTTCAGTTGCCTAAGCTTGGTCCTACGGCCGGCACGGCGCACCCACCCACACCTCCATCCTGGCGGAGTGAAATGAGAAATGGACTGCTTGATGTAGCCATTAAAATACAATTAATCTGCCATTTCTGCTGCCCCAAATTGATGAACACAGAACTCATTTATAATTGCTTATTTCTGCTTCACAATATTCCTTCCAGTATTTCCATTCTCTAAAAAAGTCCATTAACATTCCATTATTTTTTTATAACCCTTAATGTTGATTGGAAATATGTCTTCATATCAACTTGAGTAAATCTGACTGTCCCCATACACTGGCCACACTCCACCTGCCCAGAGGAGTGGCAGAAGAACCCTATATTTTGTTTGCTTCCCGGCTGCGTGGCCATCGAGAGGCCAGGAATGGGACAGACAGGTTCTGATCATGGCCTCCTCTGGAGAACCAGAGCTACCCTTTGGGGGTTAGAATGGGAGAAGGAAGAGACGCATTCACTTTAAAGTAAACAGAAGAGGAAACAAGGTTAAAATGAAGTTTATTATTTTTTTGATTTTTTGATTTTTTTTGTTTTTTGTTTTTTTAAATAAAACTGTTTGTGAAACAGCTATTTTATCCCCATGGCAGAGTGACCCCTGAAAGATGCACTAACCCCTTCTTAAGGCCATAACAAGATTTTTTTGTACTTTTTTCTTTTTTTAAAACTCAGATATTTAAAAATTATACAATTTACAAAACAAAACAACACAACATAAAGAATCACGTAGCATGGGGCTGCCTATCTGACAGGTCCTCTTTTCCTTTATAAAAATGAAAGCAAAAAGAAAAAGGGGTTAAATGGGTGTTCCTGGTCAGCTTAACCCACTCTGATCACAGCGACAGTCCCTCCCCGTCCCTGCCTACAGCTCACACTGCCAGCTCTGGCAACACAGGCCTGGACCTCCTCCCATCCCCACGGGTCCCTGTGGGTCAGGGCACAGCTGCCTGGAATGTGCTGAGGACAGGGGGCCCCAGAGGAGGGTCATCCCTTGATTTTGCTGCTGCTGTGTACACTTGATGGGGTCCTTGAGGTCCTCACCAGCCACAGTGACCCAGGACACAGCTATGACCTCAGGCATCTGCCAATTTCACCCCCAAAAAGAAAAAATTAAAAAAAAAAAACCATAAATAAATAGTGTTTCTGGAAATGAAAAAAAATTTATTTTTGTGTTTAAACATCATTCCCCTACTCTTGAAAACATGGACCATCCCTGTATTTCCCCCTCCCCCAAAACCTTCCCACTTTGAGACAAATTAATGACAAAAGGATGGTTCTGCTGTGGTTTGCTTTTTCAATCCTGGGTCTAGTGTTTTCTGAACTGGTGTGAGACAGGCTAAAGATCAACGCCACACACACACCCCGTCCTTCATGAGATGAGGGTTTGTTCAGTTCAATCTCACATTTAAATTTCACTTGTCATCGGAACAAATTTGGAGATCTTTAACGAGATAATTTTAAAACAGAATCAAAAGGGATAGCGCACCTTTCATTTAAACAAAGTCTTTCCAGACTAAAAATAGATTTATATATATATATTTATCCCTCCCTTTTAATTCCCCCCACCCTTTCCCCATCATCCCACCCCTCCCCCCTCCCCCCACATTGTCACTATGGAGATTGTGTCCATGGAAACAGCCATTCCAACGTCTTGGGTCTTTCTTTCCTGTGGTGTCACTGGTTTGAGTGTGATGTGAGAACTTAAGGAAGTGCTGGCATGGGCAGGCACGCGGGCGGGGCGGGGCGGGGCAGGGCAGGGTGTGGCTGCACGGTAGGACGATTTCCATTCCATCACGAGTGTCCACCACCTTCTCATCTCCACAGTCTCACCTGGAAGACAAGGGACACACAGTGAAGGCCAGGAGCCTCCACAGGGTCCACCACCAACAGCCGCTGTTCCGTGGTACCCCTGGGAGCTTTCAGCAGGGAGCCTGCACTCACGCCCCTCTGCAGATGTGCTGCTGATATGGGACACACCCGAGACCAATGCCAGGGCCACTGTGTGGCTCTGGATCTGGAATGTGATTAAAGGCAGCAATGACCTAGTGGGGGTGCTGGGGTTGGACTCTGAGGGCTCCTCAGGGCATGTCTGCCTTCCTAGTGCATAAAGGAACCAGTACAGCAGAGAACTCCCTGACCTCAGGGCAGGCCCCACTTGTGGGGCAGCTGGTGGGGTTTTGCCAGTGTCAGGACCCCAGTTGTGACTGAAACCTACAGTACCTGGTCAATCTGTGGAAGAAACTTCTCGAAGTCCAGCCTTTTAGGACAGTTTCACAGCTGCCTCTAGTCAACACAGCTAGTTGTTTGTTTTTGAGACAAGACATCGCTCTGTCGCCTTGGCTCCCTGCAGCCTTGACCTCCTGGGCTCAAGCAATCCTCCCACCTCAGCCTTCCAAGTAGCTGGGACTACAGGTACACGCCACCATGCTTGGCTAATGACAGTCTTTTTTTTTTTTTGAGACAGTCTTGCTCTATTGCCCAGACTGGAGTGTAGTGGTGTGCTCTTGGCTCACTGCAGCCTCTGCCCCCTGGGTTCAAGTGATTCTTGTGCCTCAGCCTCCCAAATAGCTGGGATCACAGGTGCACGCCACCACACCCGGCTAATTTTTGTATTTTTAGGAGAGATGTGGTTTTGCCATGTTAGGCTGGTCTAGAACTCCTGGCCCCAGCTGATCTGCCCACCTCGGCCTCCCAAAGTGTTGGGATTACAGGCGTGAGCCACTACACCTGGCCCACAGTCAGTTCTTCATGCTTAAAAAGAACACTCTTCCCATGGCCTCTAACAGGGAGGGCAGGTTTTCTGAGGCTCAGACAGAGCTGGACTATGTTAATCCTTTCGACCTCTCAGGAACCTGAGACCCCTAGGTCTCCCATCCCCAGGCTGGAGGGCTTCTCTCCTCTTCCAGCCCATGTGCAGAAGGGGATTCTGATGGCCCACGTAGGACAGATGGATTGTACCAAAGGTCCCTGTGGAACGCTTCATGGGCCATCTGATGTGGAAAGGTCTCAAAGACAAACAGCAGTTTCCTAGGAATCAGTCCAGTAAAATTTCACCAGAAGCCAGAAGTGGTGGCAGCCTTGCCCCTCCTTCACTTGCTATCTGCCAATCACTGTGCTTAAGACTGTCACTGGGGCTCACCTAACTGCTTCCTCAAGACCAATTTGGTGCCCTCCCCTGACAAACCCCAAGAACCCAAGTGTCACCAGCCCTTTCTGCTTCCATAAAGTTCACACACGCAGAACTGCTAAGGCGGCTGGGGCCTGCGGGAGCTAAGATTGAGCTGTTCCCAAGCACGTACATGCACATGCTCTTGCCCAAGGAGGTTCCTGACTACTTGGCAGAAAACACCAATAAGCAGGAACACACACAGAGGCCATGGCACAACATCACCACAGACAAGTAAAAGCAAGCCCTGGGAATGCAGGCCAGCAGTTGAGCTAATGGGCACCTACCTCCAAGAACACAGAAGGGTGTCATCTTGTTGGGGCTGCAGGATGCCCGTGTGAATCAAGGCCAATGCCCACACGTACCCTGCCAGGCTCTGCTCAAGGAGGGGACAGGGCAGGGTTTGCCCTCTTTACCAATACACAGCAGTCTTGGGCCTGCACCCCAATCTTGCTCATTACTCAGAAGAACAGGACCCCACACCAGCTCCCCAGTGAAGAATGAAGCACATGTCAGCAGCCAGGGTCTGCCTGGCCAGTTGGCTCTGCGAGCTGCTACTTGTGGGCCCCTCCCTGGGGCGCGTGGTGGCCCAGGCAGCGGCAGTTCCTCAGCACCTGCAGCCTGGGGCTCTGCCCTCTATAGCCTTCGTGTTCCTCAGGTCTGATGACTAGACCAGCCCAAACACACGATATCCTGAATGTAATGGGACCCTAACTTTTCAAGAGTTACTTTAAAAAAGTTGTTCCTTCAGTAGGGAAATTAGGAAGGAAGGAAAATTCTCTAAGCACTATGTGCCAGGCCCTGGGCTAGAAGCTTTACAGATATTATATCACAGTAACGTGGATCTGCCTGACCCCCATCTTCAAGAGAGCTAAAGCTCAGGAAGGCGACACATGTAGCCCAAAGCGACGTGGCCAGAGGTGGGACTGGGGCTTTCCCAACTGGGCCCTAGGGGCTGCGTATGCTAGGGCATGGGGTGTGGCTGAGAGACGGCTGGGTCCCCGACAGTGAGCCTGGGAGCAGCCCTGGTGCCAGCCAGCCTGAGCAGCAGGAGCGACCTGCCGCCCCTGTGCTGAAGACTGTGAATTCTCTTTTAAAGAACATCACCTTGCTCCCCAGCTGCCAGCATCCAGGGTTTCGTCTTGGGCCAACACCTTCCCAGGCTCCCTCACTTGTTCCCTCCCTTCCCTTCTCGCTCACACTGTCCTTTCTGCTCCCCTTTGGCCTCATCCGTGGCCTGAACCCGGGACGCCATCCTCGCGTCCTTCCACATCAGACTCCAAGCCTGCCTTTCCCAACTGCAGCAAAAACTCATCATCTCAACACCACTCACCCTGGCCAGGATTCGCCCAGAGCCCATTTCCTCATTTCTAAAACAGACACTAATTCCGACTAGAGAGGGAGGATATGAAGGGAAACCTAATTCTGAATCTATACTGATTAAGGGCACCGATGGTCAGGGTCCAAGAGCCCTTTTTTCCCTGGGATGCACTCATTTCTTTCTTTTTTTTTTTTTTTTTTGAGATGGAGTCTCACTCTGTCGTCCAGGCTGGAGTGCAGTGGCACGATCTCAGCTCACTGCAAGCTCCACGTCCCGGGTTCATGCCATTCTCCTGCCTCAGTCTCCCGAGTAGCTGGGACTACAGGCGCCCACCACCACGCCCGGCTAATTTTTTGTATTTTTAGTATTTTAGTGTTTTAATTTTTTGTATTTTTGTATTGTTAGCCAGGATGGTCTCGATCTCCTGACCTCGTGATCTGCCCGCCTCCCAAAGTGCTGGGATTATAGGCGTTAGCCACTGTGCCCGGCCTGGGATGCACTCATTTCTTTAACACAGACTCACTTGGCACTAGCATAGTTACATGCCCCGCTCTGGGCTAGGCTTTGATGGTGCAAAGACAGACGTGGTCCCTGCCCTAATGGAGCTTACAGTCTAGTGGAGAGACAGGTAGTAAACAAGTAAATGATCTGAAATTGTGGTGATGCTAGGATGGCTGCAAGCGAGGAGGGGGGCAATGGAGACAAGGATTTAGAAAGGGAAAGGCTTCTCTGAGGAAGTAGGATTTAAGCTGAGACCCAGGAGATGGGAGCCTGTTTTCAACATGAAGATGGGGAGCCAAAGTGTTTCCAGCACAAGGAACTGTGTGTGCAGAAGCCCAGAGGAAGGAAGCCTGGTCCCTGAGGAGCTGGAGGCAGCCAGGGGCCTGGAGAGTCACCTGAGACTTCCATAGGGCTCTGGAAGGCAAGGTGAGATGTCTGGGCTTTGTGTGGAAGATGACAAGAATCTCTGACGTAGAGAAGGGACAGGACTGGAGGGAGGCCTAATGAAGATTGCACTTGGCTGCTGAGCAGTGGCAGGGAGGCGGGCACTATAGCAGCCACAATGCCTGGGCTGGGGCTGGTGGGGAAGGAAAGTGGACAGACTCAGGCTCTCCTCTGGAGGTGTAACCCTGGACTGCCTCTGGACCAGTTTGGGGAAAGGGGAACTCTAGAATGTGACATTCATGCATACACACAAATGGACTGTGTGATGTCCAGCTCCAGGGGCAGGGGGGCCACGCCCCGTTCCCTGCCTTGCTCAGCGTCCATCCATGGCTGTTCTGTGCAGGGTACATAGCATCCAGGATGCAGCATTAGCCCTGATCAGGGTTATGCTTCCCATGTGCTGGACCACAGGGCCTGTTAGGGCAAGCTGGGGCCTCCTTGTTTAATTCACGACAGGAGGAAGAGCTGGGTATAGGGACTCCACTGTCAAAAGCCCTGCCAACCAATGACACAAGCCAGCAAGGCAACCCCCTTGGCACAAAGAGACAGTGGGCAACCACGGGCCTGCAGAAGGACTTTTCCCCTCCGCACTCCTGGCGAGGGTCAGGTACCAGATACCTCACAGGCTGGGAGGCAGGGGCGGCATCTTTTAACCCCAAGCCTTGGGTATTTTTTGCTATAAGAGACAGCTGCAGGGTCCAATCTGCTGCCTTGACCCCTCCAACTCCCAAGAGAAACCCACAGCTAGGCATGGCAGATCAACGGGCTGAGAGCCAGTGTGCTGTGCTGGCACTTAGAGACATTTCCCAATGGAATCTCAAAAGGTTGGCACTGCTATTCCTGTTTTTACAGAAGAAACCGAAGTACAGAGACATGGAGTAGTCTGATCTTAGTCACACAGCACCTATCATATCACTCTGTCAGAACATGGCGCACTAGGAGGCAGACACACACGCACATTCGCTGTCTGTTCCCTGCCTTGTCAGGGCACCCAATAATGGTGGCTCTCTGTCCCCAGCATGGGGCCCAAGATGAGTCCTCCTTTAGTCAGAGGTGTGATTCTATCCCCAGTCACCAGGGCTTCTACCACAAATGAAGGACGGTGACCACCCTCAATGTCACTGCTGAACTGGGAAACCAGGAAAAGCTATATGCCTTGTGGGAACAGCACATAAAAAACATTTCAGATGGACAGGACTGGATGCAGTGAGTCCATCCTCTCCCTCCAAGAGCTGAATGGAATGGTTCAACCTCAATGGACCTGAGACGACTCTCTTCAATGGGTGAGGCCACTTCATCACTGTGCTTCAACCCAGAAGGATGAAGCTCATTGTTCTGTTCAAGAGTTGGCCGGGCGCCGTGGCTCACGCCTGTAATCCCGGCACTTTGAGAGGTCAAGGCGGGAAGATCACTTGATGTCAGGAGTTCAAGGCCAGCCTGGGCAACATGGTGAAACCCCATCTCTACAAAAAATACAAAAATTAGCTGGGCGTGGTGGTGCACACCTGTAGTCCCAGCTACTCGGGAGGGCTGAGGCGGGAGAATCGCCTGAACCCCAGAGATGGAGGTTGCAGTGAGCCGAGATCGTGCCCCTGTACTCCAGCCTGGGCGACAAAGTGAGAATCCGTCTCCAAAAAAAAAAAAAAAAAGAGTCAAGGGCCCTGACAGCTAGGAAGGAAGGCCCAAGAATGACTAGAGAGGAACAGATGAACAAAATCCCCAGGAGATTTGTCCACCAGGCCCAGGGCCTGAACTTTCTTTTTCTCAAACACAGATGCAATTCCAGGACAAAAACAAAAAACACTTAAGCTCTTTCCTTAACCAGGTCTTCTAGGACACATTCCAGGAATACGCATCGTGGTCCCCTACAGAACTTGACTCTAACCATCTTGGCCTGTGCTGGCACAGGGGTGACAATGGGAAGGCACAGTGACACCCTCAGGAGCGTAGGGACATGCAGGAGGGCCAACAGAAACAGTCCTTTCAAAACCACGCAATGCAATGGCTGCCTTGTCCTAAGGGCTAATCCCAGGAAAAGGAGCAGGCAGTGCTGCCCAGCAGGTTCTGGAAAACCAGCAGCCACTCGCTGATGGTGGCAATGTACTCCAAGTCCAAGAGGCTTCATTTGCTCATCTGGTTCCTCTGACCCAGGAACACATGGAATGGCTTCCACCCACCTCCCCACTTTGCTCTGATCCCTTCACTGCCAGCCCTACTCCCCGGAAGAGGAAAGAGAAAGGCACCACACTCAACGCTCTATCAAGAAGGCACTCAGCAGCCCCCACTTGACTTCTCAAATGGCGTGGCAGCCGAGGGGCCTTCTCCGGAAATTAGTAGTGGTAACAAGGAGGAGGGCACGTTCCAGAAGGTGGTCAGGCACATGGTGGTGCCGGAAGGGACACGTCTAGCGTAGCTGTGTGAGTCAAACTCCTGAGGTCGACACAGAAGTCCTCCCATTTGAGAGAAATGACCCCTCAATGAATATTTCTGAGACAACTAGTCCTCCTGCCCCATCCTGTAGCAGCAAGTGCCACAAGGTACATTTTGGTTTTTCTTTTCTTTACAACCTATTTCCCTTCATGCCTCAGTGACGCAGGGAGGGTGAAGGAGCAGCATGGAGCTCAGAGGCCTGCAGCTTCTAGAGACCCCAAGTCCTATCATCCTGTTTTCACAGATGCCTGCCAAGAGGGCCGTGACCACAATAATCCCACACAAACTCACAGCAAGCACAACTCAATCACAAGAATTTTTTTTCTTTTTTTGAGACAGGGTCTCACTGTGGCCCAGGCTGGAATGTAGCGGCACGATCATGGCTCACTGCAGCCTCAACCTCCAGGTTTGATCAAGTGATCCTCCCAGCTCAGCCTCCTGAGTAGATGGGACTAAAGGCATGTACCACCACGCACGGCTAATTTTTTTTTTTTTTTTTAATGTAGACACAGGGTCTCACTGTTGCCCAGGCTGGTCTTGAACTCCTGGGCTTAGGCGATCCTTCTGCCTCAGCCTCCCAAAGTGCTGGCATTACAGGTATGAGCCACCATGCCCAGCCTCGAGATTTTTAAGAGTAAAATTAAATCAGATGCTAGAGTCTACTAAATCTTTGAGGATTTTTCTTTCCTTTGTACTTCTGCAAAAAGGAATCCTTCATAATACTGGAAAAAAAAGATTTCTAATAACAAAACCCAAGAGTTCTGTTGTTTTCAAAGGAAAACACACCATAAGCTTTACAGAAATGTAGTAAATTAAAAAGAAGAGACCTTTGACTGGAACCCTTTCTGAGACGGGGGAAAGAGCAGGGGCTACTGGCAAGAGATGCCCTGCCCAAGAAAGAGACCTAAAAGCCTGTTGTGTCCACTCACAAGGCCACCCCTGGCCAGCTGTGCCCTGAAGGGCTGCCTTCAGGAACAGTCACCCTGCACCCCATTGGCAGTGGACAGTTTAGAAGCCCCCACTCCTTTCCACAGATAATCTGGGGAGCTAAGTAACCAATGGAAGAACACTGCATCCACCTGGCGTTGTCATCCACAGGATGAAATGCTGGTGGCAGAGCATAGAGCGAGCAGGAGGGCAGAGGCAACGACGCCTGCTGGGAGCCGGGCAGGATGCAGGGAGCCCGGTGGCCCCGACTCACCTGTGCTTGCTGTCCTTTCCATTCCCACGAGCACACTGCCCCCCTCACCCCCGCTCCGACTGCTCTGTGCTGAGGCTGCCTTTCGCGGTCTTGTTCTGCAAGGGGGGGAGAGGGCACGGAAGGGGAGGCTGACACGGGCAAAACCAAGAGGAGACAGACAGGTGGGAGAGGACAGTGCAGAAATCAGGGAGGGCAAAGGGAGGACAGGAGTGGCACATGGAAAAGGAAAGAAAAGGCAGAGTCAGTCCTGACCGACAAACAGGAGACATTCAGACAGGGTTTTCTGAGGCAAAATGTGACCCTTAAAAAGGGGAGTTCTAAAAATAACATGCAAATTAAGTAAAAATAAAGAGAATATAAGATCCTGTGACCACTCCCCGCCCTTCCCCAGAAATAATTTTTAAAGAAAAGCATAAGCAAGCATCTTTCAGGAGCATTTTGAGGGCAGACCTCTCTGGACAACCTCCTTCTAGTACTTTCGGCCCTACTAGATTTAAGACTGCGAGTGACCAGTGACCACCAGGTGTCAGTGTGACCTCAGCCAGAGACACAGTGCAGCCCCTGCAGGAAACATCAGGTGGCAGTGGTCTCCGTTCTGATCCTTTCTTGGGGCTCCTTCTCCATATACACCCTCCCCACACACATATGTGGTATCCACAAACAGACCATTCACCCCTTACCTCCCACCCTTTCCTAAAGGAAGCGACCACGAGACCACCTCCTAAATAAACTGGGAAGTGGAGCCCGAGACAGCCCATCCACTGTGCATCAGGCTGCTTCTGCAGAAGCACAACCTGGAAGAGACTGAGCTTCCCCAGAGCCTTGTGGTCAGCTCGACTTCTAGTCTGGGAAGATGCCTTTGCACAGGCCTCAAGGCCTAGAACCAGACTTACCAAACGCCAACCTGTGAATTGGGGTTCTATTCACCTCAAGTGGAAATCAGTGGCTTGATCGAGTTAGATATTCTCACCTCTCTTAATGAACAGACAAACACCCCCTCTCCCAAAACACATTTCTCCTGGGATCCTCATAATACTCCGAGTGCTGGCCCCCATGCCACGGGTCTCCCTTCAGCATCATGCCCCTCCACCCTCCCAGGGCCAGGAGGGGACTAACAGCCGGAGGCACAGGTGGGGACAGGTGTGGGTGAGGCCCACCAACACCTGGTCTTCAGGTCTTTCAGGAGGAGCCACCCTCGATCCCATCCCTGCTGGTAGCTCTTGGGGCCTCTGACTCACCTTGTGCTTAGGGCACCTCACCGAGAAGTTCTCCTCATGTAGCAAACAATCTGGAAGACAGAAGGGGACAGTCAGATGGAGACTTCACAGCTGGACATAGGTGTGGTCATGCTGGCTGGGATTGACAGGGTCAGACATAAAGGTAGCAGGTCGCTACACTTACTTCTAATAGGAAAACATTAGAGACAACCCAAGTAAGCTATGATACCTTAACATGATGGATATCGGTCACTTAAAAATTAACATTTGAAAAGAGTTAATGGTATGGAAAACACCCATGAAACAAAACTGCTTGAAAAAACCAGGATGTACAAATGTATAAATGTGCTAATTTTATTAAAATGTTTCTACGCATTAAAAAAAGACTTGGGGCTGGGTACCATGGCTCACACCTGTAATCCCAGCACTTTGGGAGGCCGAGGCAGAAAGATCACTTGAATCCAAGAGTCAAGACCAGCTTGGGCAACACAGTGAGATCCTGTCACTATTAAAAAAAAAAAAAAAAATACTGAAAGGCTGGGTGTGATGGCACTTGCCTATAGTCCCAGCTACTTGGGAGGCTGAGGTGAGAAGACTGCTTGAGCCCAGGAGTTCAGACTGCAGTAAGCTACTATCACATCACTGCACTATAGCCTAGGCAAGCAAAACTGTCTTAAAAAAAAAAAAAACTACTTGGGAGGCTGAGGCAGGAGAATCACTTGAACCAGAGAGTCGGAGGTTGCAGTGAGCCGAGATCACACCACTGCACTCCAGCCTGGTGACAGAGCGAGACTCCGTCTCAAAAAAAAAAAAAAAAAAAAAAAAAAAAAGACTGAAAGGAAATCTATGAATATGTAACAATAATTCTCTTTGGGTAAGAAGATACAGCTGATTTAAATTTTATCTTTTCTATATTCCCACGATATCACCAATAAATGCTATTTTAAAAATCCTTGATTCTAGGCTAACCCCATTTCTCAGGCTCAAGCCAAAGCCTCCTTGTAAAAACACTTTAAAATCTAGACGCGTATTTTCTTCTCTGTACAGAGAATGCCCAGGTGTCTGAGACAGAAAGGTGGCCAGGCCCAAGAGCCCCACTGTCACCTTTGCCCCACGACCCACGGAGACACAGAAGCCTCCAACACAAATCACATAATCCACACTAAATGCTTCAGAGGAAGGTAAAATCCCATGAGGATGCTTTTAATCCTTGGAGGAAAAATGATTCATTCCAACTTGTAACATGATGACAGCATCCTGGATGGCAGCAAGGACACATCTGCCTCCAGGTGAGCTGAGCTCTCACACAAGGGTAGTGCATGGATCAGGGCAAGGAAATCTAATTAATGAGTTCACTCTGCACACCACAGCTCCTGGAGACCGACAGCCAGGTCACTGGTGCAAAACGCGGTGGCAGAATGTTAATAAATATTGATAACACATTCTCAGAGAGCTCCCAGGCACCATGGCAGGAGGCAGCCACGGTACTTATCCTTGTTAAATTTAAACTGAGATCCAGACTAGCAGCCTGTGCACCCACAGATTTCAAGTGCAATAGTAATAAGCAATGAACATACACATGAAAACTTTTCAGGTCCCGGTATCCTAAAACAAATCAAAAAGACCCTTTTATATTTGGCCAGACCTGGAACATCATAGCCTGTCTTTCGTTGGAGCCCATGAGTATCTAAGAGAGTGGGCGGCAGCCTTCTTGGCTCCGTGGGCCCAAGAGCTCAGCAACTTACTACTAACCTCCAAGCCCCTCCCCCAGCAAGCAACTAGCAAGGCAATAAATGAAATGTGTTAATTTAAAACCCACAAGTACATAGTGTGACCAAGACTCCCGCTGCTCCAATCTGCCAGAGAGTTTATAAACAGCAGGAGCCAGACAACTGGAGCTCAGGGGATATGCTCTCTTCTTACCTGGGCTCTGGCAGCAAGCACTATGCTGGCTTAGTCTCTAGTTTGGGCCAAACAGAAACAGTACAGCACACGTGGGGCTGGGCCACGCTTACGCCACAGGGGTTTATACCAGTGAGGACAGGGACCACACGAGCAGCAAAGGGTGCCATCAGAAAGGCGCAGGTGGCTCAGTTCCCTCACGGCCACAGAACAGTGACCAGCTGTGATGGACCATTAATAAAACACGCCTCATGTTAGGAAATGCGTTCCCTCTGAGTTAGAAGCAGAAAAGAGTAAGACACTATGAATGCACGCTAACGACAACTTGAAACTAATGCCAGATACATCTGGAAATGAAGTCTCCTACAGCAATCTGCCTGAGGCAGTGTCCATCTCTGACAAGGCCTCCCATGCAGGAACACTGTGCAGACAATGCCCTCCTCTGTTCTCATACATGTCCACAGGCCGTCAGGAAGCACAATTCACGTTCCTGGCAGGGGCCAGAACCACAGCTAGAGAGCTCAGAAACCTGGAGGGCACAGGGGAGCTTCTCCTCTTACCAGTCCCTGCTGGGAGGGAAGAGTGAAGAGCAGTAGGTGTAGTAAAACCTCTTCTGAGGACTCTGAACAGGCAACTGCACCTACATGGCCAGCCAGTCAAGGTCTCTCAATCTGTGTTCTTCAAGGCCCAGGCACCATCCTACACTGTCCAGAGGGCGCAGTCAGCACTTCTGCATAGTGAAGTCAAAGTAAACAGCTTGCGAGATCATCATCCAAGCTCAAAAAGACCTACAAGGTGGCCTAGTCAACAAGATGGCTTGCAGACACAAACATCAACCCCCAGAAGAGAAGGCCACTTTCATTTCCCTCTTCAAGCTCAAAGGCAGAATGGATTTACTAAGCTCCTCATTATAAGCTCTGTGAAGCTTCAGATACCCACATGCATCCACATGCTCCCAGGCTGAGGATGGTGGGCTCAAGGAGGGAGGTAGGAAAAACAAGAAGGGTTTAATGTCCTTTGGATCTGTTGTGTAGCAGACACAGACTCCAATTCACCTACACTCTACCCCAGTACTACTGTTATTCCTTATGTTGGCACACTGCAGGGCTTGGGACACAGGGGCCTGCCAGCCCCACCCTGCCTTGCCGAAGGGTAGGCTCAGGCTCCTGGGCCATAAGGAGGGAAATATGGGGCTCTTGGCACTGGGACTGGCTCCTGTGAGGCAGACGGCTGTCCCCCGGGGAGGAGTCAGACTACTGGCATTTCCTAATGACCCATCCAGGGCTCTGATGGCA
Organism: Homo sapiens; assembly: GCF_000001405.40. NCBI lineage: Eukaryota > Metazoa > Chordata > Mammalia > Primates > Hominidae > Homo > Homo sapiens. The sequence continues at coordinate 94,014 of NW_014040931.1, forward strand.
CCAGCAAGATCAAAGTCTGCAGCAGAGATAGCAGCTTTAAAATGCTACTGCAACGAGAGCTGCAGAAAGTAGAATTCCCAGCTGTTTTTTCATGAGAGTAGAAGAAAAAAAAAAAACCCTCCACACAAGGTTCTTTACGCACAGTGGAATTATTAATGAGCTACCACAGCCTTTTTTTCTCGTCTTAATTGTTGTGGCTCATTGCATTAAATACATTAATTAAAAAAAAAAAAAAACAGAGCTCATGCTCTTATTACTGTAACCCCCCCCACCTGGAGCCAAATCCTGTGCCTATGACATAACAAGCAACACAAAACAGCTGACCATGATGTCAGAAATGCAGGGTCAACATCAGGTGGGGGGGAAGGTGGCAGGAGTCACAGATCATGAAACAAAGATTCTGTTTCTATGGAGATGTCCCAGTAATAAAAGTCTTCCCTGAGACATCAACAGCTCTTTAAAGATCTGGGTGGGTTGACAGCAAGGCAGAGATGAAAATGTTAAACTGCTCTTTACTCCATAAGGGAGGTTAGGGATTCTCAAACCAAGGACTTATTTTTGTTATGATTAGAAAGAAAAGTCCATCAATAAACTTGTTTCCTGGATACAAAGTTACATCATACACAGAGAGCAATTTCCAAGAAGACTGTGTGGAATAATACAAGCGTCCATCCCCACAGAGCAGTGCAGGCCTCTGGGTCACTGTGACTTGGGTCATCAAAAAGACCGCAATGACCAAGACATGGTCATCTTGTGAAACTGCCTCTGGGTCCCAGGTCTCCACATGAAGGAGCAAAGTGCACAGCAGCAGAGGCAGCAAAGCCAGAGGCCGACAGCCCTACCCTCACTCCTCCCAACCCAGACCCCTCTGTCTTGCTGGACACGCGGCCACCAACTTCTGTTAAATAGAGATGCTACCAGCTTAACTAGGCAGGCTACCAAGATGGGCCCCAAAACAGAAAATGACAGACACCATTTACTCACAAGTCCTCAGCTAATAATGAGGGTCCTGCGCTTCTCTGCTGGTGGGCTGGGGTGACAACCTGGGCACAAGCTTCCACTAGAGGAGAGGATGTTCCAGTGCTCTATGGCCCCTTCCAAAAAATCCCAACCATATTGCCTGAACTTGGGTTGAGGAGGGTAGCTCTAAGCCTGTGCTGTTCAGCCACTAGCCATACATGGCCACTTAAGTTTACATTAAAAAAAAAAATTCATTTCCTCAGTCCCACTAGCACTCAATGATCACATCTGGTTTGTGGTTACCACATTGGAGAGTGCTGAGCTAGAGCGTTTCCATCATTGCAGTATGTTAGGCTGAGCTTTGCTGCTTGACATCTTAGAAGCTGGACCAGAAGGCAGGCTATCAGCAGAACGGGGGCAGCCTCCAGGGGGGCCCTTGCTGAAGTGTGCTCGGGTGGGATGTGGCACCGGCCTGTCAGCACACCCTAATGTGTCCCTGAACACAGCCTCAGTGGGGGACCACTTCTTACCCAGCTGCGAACTGGGAGAGCCAAAACTCACAGTATTCCCAATATAAAACTAACAATCAACCATAAAAAAACTTAATACTTAAAAATCCTCATATATAGCTGGGCATAATGGTACATGCCTGTATTCCCAGCTAGTTGGGAGGATCGCTTGAGCCTAAGAGTTTGAGTCCAGCCTGGGCAACACAGTGAGACCCTGTCTCAAAAAAAATTTTTTTTTTTTTCACTTAAAAGCCATTTTCTTGGCCAGGCGCGGTGGCTCACGCCTGTAATCCCAGCACTTTGGGGGGCCAAGGTGGGCAGATCACAAGGTCAGGAGATCGAGACCATCCCGGCTAACACGGTGAAACCCCGTCTCTACTAAAAACAGAAAAAATTAGCCGGGCGTGGCGGCGGGCGCCTGTAGTCCCAGCTGCTGGGGCGGCTGAGGCAGGAGAATGGCGTGAACCCGGGAGGCGGAGCTTGCAGTGAGCCGAGATCGCGCCACTGCACTCCAGTCGGGGCAACACAGCGAGACTCTGTCTCAAAAAACAAAAAAAAAAAGCCATTTTTTTCAACTAGAAACAAAACTTTATATTACTGCTCCCCCTCTTTCCTGGCCACTAGACTACAGGGAAGAAAACACAATATTACGATGTAACTAGAGGTAATGAAAATGAGAAAAGGCAACTGGTTGGCTCTTTTAAAAACTTATTTTTATTTGAACAGACCTGTTCTTGCTATGTTATCCAGGCTGAACTTGAACTCCTGGCCTCAAGTGATCCTCTAGCCTCAGCCTCCCGAGTACCTGAGATTACAGGTGTGAACCACCATACCTAGTTAACTGGTTAGCTCTCTTTCTTTTTCTTTTGAGACAGAGTCTCGCTCTGTTGCCAGGCTGGAGTGCAGTGGCGTGATCTCAGCTCACTGCAACCTCCACCTCCCGGGTTCAAGCGATTCCCCTACCTCAGCCTCCCAAGTAGCTGGGACTACAGGCACGCGCCACCACACCTGGCTAATTTTTCATATTTTAGTAGTGACAGGGTTTCACCATGTTGGCCAGGCTGGTCTCAATCTCCTGACCTTGTGATCCGCCCACTTCGGCCTCCCAAAGTGATGGGATTACAGGTGTGAGCCACCGTGCCTGGCCCAACTGGTTAGCTCTTGAAAGAGAAGGATTTAACAGCTGTACTACAGAATATGGCAGACCATGACCCAGGGTAAATTACACCTTAGACTCAACATGAAAACATTTGGAGGAAAAAAGAGAACAGAAGGGATGGACTAAAACCCAAACTCCCTGAACTGACATTTCAAGGCTACTTCATTTTTGTTTTGAGATAGGGTCTCACTCTGTTGCCCAGGCTGGAGTGCAGTGGCCCAACTGAGGGTCATGCAGCCCCTCCTGGGTCCTTCCATCTCAGCCTCCCTGGGTAGCTGGGACTACAGACAAGGGCCACCACGCCTGGCTAATTTTTTGTATTTTTTGTAGAGACAGGGTTTCACCATGTTGGCCAGGCTGGTCTCGAACTCCTGGGCTCAAGCAATCCTCCCACCTCAGCCTCCGAAAGTGCTGGGATTACAGGTGTGAGCCACCACACCTGGCACTCTGTTTCTGATTCCCTATCTTTCCGTTGATCAAATAGTGCCTTGGCCATCAAGCTGCCTTTCAGTCCACATGTACGTGTGAATACACACACTTTTGTAATAGTCTAACTGGCATCAGCATTATCTTCTCTACCTCTCTTGTTCTTTTTAACTGTTTCTCCTACAGAAGCTTGGAGAGAAAAGAGGGAAGGGGGAGGTAAGGGCAAGAAGGATGTGAAAGGAATGGAGACATATGCTTAAACAAAAGTCAGGAGCTGCAAGCAACTGCTGCGCTGGAAGGAAGGGGGGGGCAGGATGAATTCTGAGACCTGATCCAAGTCTGTTGGCCCTGCTCTGTGTATGTTATGCCTCACGCCTGTTCCCATCATGCAGTCAGCCACGCCCTCTTCCCCTTCCCATCAAATTCAAATCAAACCCCGCCTCCTATGGACAGCGTGGCTGCCTCCGTGGACAGCCCTGCTTCTCTCCTGGGGAAGCACAGAGAGGGGGCATGCACATGACAAGCACCATGCTACTTGCTGCCTTCTCTCACCACTTTTCCTCAAACGTGACCACAGGCATTATGGGGGCTGCCTGGGTGATGGTCTTAGATACATCTAATGCTCAAGTAACTAGAGGACATTATGTCAAGTGAAATAAGCCAGGCACGGAAAGTTAAAAGCTGCATGTTCTCGCTCATGTGGAAATTTAAAAAGCTGATCTTACGGAAGTATTAAAAAGTAGAACAGAGGATACTAGAGGCCAGGAAGGGGAAAGGAAAGGAAGAGATAAGTAGAGATTTGTTAAAGAATACAAAATTACATCTAGATGGGAGAAATAAGTTCTAGTATTCTGTATCACTGTAGGATAACCACAGTTAACAACATTATATTGTATAGTTTCAAATGACTAGAAGATACCAAATGTTCCCAACACAGACATGTTGTTTGAGACGATGGATTTGCTAATTACCTAGGTCTGATCATTTTATATATATATTGAAACATTACTGAGCACCCCATATCTACAATTACTGTCCATTAAAAAAAGTAAAAAACGCTGGGCGCGGTGGCTCACGTCTGTAATCCCAGCACTTTGGGAGGCTGAGGTGGGTGGATCACCTGAGGTCGGGAGTTTGAAACCAGCCTGGCCAACATGGCAAAACCCCGTCTCTACTAAAAATACAAAAATTAGCCGGGCATGGTGGTGGGCGCCTGTAGTCCCAGCTACTCGGGAGGCTGTGGCAGGAGAATCACTTGAATCTGGGAGGCAGAGGTTGCAGTGGGCTGAGATCATGCCATTGTACTTTAGCCTGGGCGATAAGAGCGAAACTTCGTCTCAAAAAGAAAAGTAAAAAACTTAATAAACTTGAAATTAACACCCACCTTGCCGCCAAAAAAGTAACTGGGGAAAACACCCACTGAAGGGACTAAAAGTCTAGAGTAAGAAAGGTGATTTTCCCAGGTTATCGAAGCTCTGAGTCAAAACTCAAGTCTTCTGCGTCACTCATTGGATGGCACTTCTTTAACAAAATGTTTCCCTTCTTTCAACAGTTAACACACTGCAAAACATCCCCCTATCATCTCAGCAAAGAAAATACAACACTCTATTGTATGTATACAACGTACTGTGATTTAGAGTAAGAAATACATATTTTAGTCTTCATCCCTGATTCCTGGCACAGACCTCCTAAAACCCGTGTAAATTCCTGAGCAATTAGGGGTGCTAGGAGCATCTTTTCTTCTAATATTTGGTTTTTGATCCTGGTTCCTGACATGGAGCTCCTAAACCCTTGGAATTTCCTGGATAGGAGCACTTTTTGTTCTAAGGCTACTCTTGGTGGTTCCTGGATGGGGGCTGGGCACCAGAGAGACGAAGCTGTGATTAGCAGCTTGGAACTGTTAGCTCTACCCACCCCACTCCAGGAAGGACAGAGGGGGTGAAGATTGAGTTAATAATTGATTATGCCTACATGATGAAGCCTCCAAAAAATCCGTGAACTACTGGATTCAGAGGGCTTCTGGACTGCTGAGTAGATGAAGGTGCCTCAGGGGTGGTGCCCCTGGAGAGAGCATGGACGCTCCATGCCCCTGCCCACACATCTGGCCCTATGTTTCTTTCATGTGGCTGTTCATCTGCATCCTTTATAATGGGTAAACACAAGTGAAGTGTTTCCGTGAATTCTGTGAGCCATGTTAAACATTAATCAAACCCAAGGAAGCGGTCTTGGGAACCCCAGTTTATAGTTGATCACTCAGAAACACAGGTCATAACACAGGGCTTGAGATTGGTATATGAAGTGGGGAGCGGTCTTGTGGGACTGAGCCCTTAACCTGTAGGGGCTGCACTAACTCTGCTTAGTATCAGAACCAAGCTAAACTATAGGACACCCAGTTGGTGTCCAATGGTGAATTACCTGTGTGATGCTATCAAGAAAAGAAAGTAAAAAGACAACTCAGAGAATGGAAGAAAACATTTGCAAACCACATATCCAGAATTACAAATAATTCTTTTTTTTTTTTTTTTTTTTTTTGAGACAGAGTCTCACTCTGTTGCCCAGGCTGGAGTGCAGTGGCGTGATCTCGCAACCTCTGCCTCCCGGGTTCAAGTGATTCTCCTGCCTCAGACTCCCGAGTAGCTGGGACTATAGGTGCGCGTCACATCTGGCTAATTTTTGTAGTTTTAGTAGAGACGGGGTTTCACTATTTTAGCCAGGCTGGTCTTGAACTCCTGACCCCATGATCCACCCGCCCGGCCTACAAATAATTCTTAAAACTTGACATTAAAAAGATAAACAACCCAATTTTACAATGGGCAAAGGATGTGAATAGCTATTTCTCCAAAGAAGATGTACAAATGGCCAATAGGCACAAGAAAAAAATGCTCGACATTAGCCATCAGGGAAATACAAATAAAAACCACAATGAAATAACATTTCATACCCACTGGGCTGGCTACAATTAAAAAAAAAAAAAAAAAGAAACACATATGACAGCAAGTGTCAGGGAGGACCTGGGGAAAGGAGAACACTCATGCACTGCCACTGAGAACGTAAAATGGGGCAGCCATTTTGGAAAACAGTCTGACAGTTCCTTAAAAGGTTAAACAGAGTTACCATATGATCCAGCAATTCTACTCCCAGGTACACATCCAAGAGAACTGAAAACATGTTCACACAAATGCTTGCATGTGAATGTTCTATAGCAGCATTATTCATAACAGTCAAAAAGTGGAAGTAACCCAAATGTACAGCAAAGCCCACAGAGATAGAAAGGATTGAGTCCAACAGAGCTTAAAGGGAAAAAAAAATCATAAAAATTTAAAAAAGAAAACAGAATAGTGGTTGCCAGGGACTGGAGGGAAGGGAAGGGAGATGAGTGCTGCTAATGGGTGGGAAGTTTTTTTATGAAGTGACAAAAAAAAAAAAAAAAAAAAAGAAAAGAAAAGAAAAAAAACAACGACAACAGAGAGAATCAAACTGTATGTCCTAATCCTTTGGATGCTCTGGACAAGGGTCTGTGGTCTCCTCTTACCTGCATCAATGGCACACGGGTAATGGTATCGGAAGGAGCAGCCTTTGTTGTAGCAGCCCAAGGTGGCGCCTGCCTCCTGGCAGTGGGAACATTTCTGAAAGGAAGGGAAAAGTCAGGCATGTCAGTATCCCAGATTTGGCCCTCTCCTCCAGGCCTTCCCTGGTCCCCATCTGTTAGACCTCAGCACGTGTCTCTGTGGTTAGAGGAGTCCGTGGTGGCAGGATGAGCTGGTCAATTTCTAAATGCCATTCACTGACCACACCATGGGAAGGGATCCAGCAATAATGTTTTAGACCAAGCCTCACAAATGTTCTCAAATCAACAATACAGCAGGGTGAGATGAGCAATCCATGTCATAAAGGACATGCCAGAGTGGGGTCCCCAGCCCTGCCTCTGGTACCCCCGCCATCCACCCACCCACACACTATGCCAGGCATTTCCTTGCTGCTATCGTGAGCGGCCTGCAGATCTTCCCTGTTTACTTCTGCTGTGAAAATCTGGGGTAAGAGAGGGTAAGGTAGTAGAGTTATATATAAACCTTTTAGAATTAGAAGTGGAATTTGGTTTCTAGTTCTTGTATTTGTAAGAAGATTTTATTTTTATTTTTGATCTACTTACCCCAAATGCCCAATACATTTCCCTTTTCAGAAAATATGGGCTCCTGTGTGCAAATGGTATTTTTATACATGAATCTTATTTTAAATGCACCAGAAAACCTGCCATGAATTTCTGGCTAAGTGAGACATTATTTTGTAATTGAGACACTCCTCCTTATATGGTCAGGTTTTCTTAAAGTGGGGCACATCTCTGTCAGCCCTGTGATGTGGCTGCTGTGAGTGCTCATCCTGTCAGGTAAGAAATGTGTCCTATCAGCAACAAACACATTCATAAAACTCAACCACATGTGACCCTACTAAGGATGCTGGCTCTTCAGATAGCAGAGGCACACAACCAGCAAGACTAGCTGGAAGAGACAGAAACTTGTTCCTGCTTCTATGAAAAATAAAAGTGTTCCCTAAGCAATTACACTGAGCTGGCTCAGGCCCCCGACACAGATACTGATGGAAAACTACACTAACGCCAGCAACAGCAAAGCCCAAGCGCTCGCCACGCTCAGACTGAATGATCTCATCCAGCCCTCTGCACTATTCCACCTGGCAGGCACTCCTAATGCTTCACGTGAAACTCTTGAGACACCAAAGGGAAAATAACTTGTTCCAGGTCAGAGCTGAGATTCTGGATGATCATCTCTGGCATCCTCCAGAGACAAAAGAGGTAGGAACAAGGGCTGGAAGAGATTAGTCCTTCAAAAGCTTTGCCCTGCTCTCAGAAGATCAAGGTCCTTCTGGGTGCCCATAATCAGTAAATGTTTATCATGTGCCCTCGCACCCTTGTTAAGAGAGAAAAGATCATTTGGTCTGGAGTAAACCAAGGACAAGTTCACAGCATTTCTAGTAGCCCTAGACTCTGTCGACCTTTGTCAGTGCCACAGAGCATCTCAGAATCAAAAGGACTATCAACTTCAGAGAAGGGAGTGTGGGTAGTCCATCGGTGGCCAACCTGCAGCCATGTCTGCTGCCACTTTCTTTTTTTGAGATGGAGTCTTGCTTTGTCGCCCAGGCTGGAGTGCAGTAGCGCAATCTTGGCTCACTGCAACCTCTGCCTCCCAGTTTCAAGCCATTCTCCTGCCTCAGCCTCCTGAGTAGCTGGGATTACAGGCGTATGCCACCACGCCAGGCTAATTTTTGTATTTTTAGTAGAGATGGGGTTTTGCATATTGGCCAAGCTGGTCTCAAACTCCTGACCTCATCGCATCTGGCCTCCTGCTGCCACTTTCTTACTCAAGAGGCCCGAAGATATGGCCCTCCCTACCCTGGGGGATGAATCACAGTGAGTGGTGGCCATTTAGGAATGGGTATGGTCAAGCATTTCTGGTAGGAAAGTCTGCAGGAAAAAGGGCTTCTGAAAACATTTTGCACTCCCCCCAACCTTTTTTTTTTTTTTTTTAATATATTTTGAGACGATGTCTTGCTCTGTCACCCAGGATGGAGTGCAGTGGCACAATCATGGCTCACTGCAGTCTCTACCTCCCAGGCTCAGGTGATTCTCCTGACCTCAGCCTCCCGAGTAGCTGAGACTACAGGGTGTGTGCTACCACATCCAGCTTTTTCAAAAAATGTTTTTGTAGAGACAGGGTCTCACTATGTTGCCCAGGCTGTCCTTGAACTCCTGGGCTCAAGCAATTCTCCCATCTCAGCCTCCAAAAGTGCTAAGATTACAAGCATGAAAGTTTCACCCTCTCAAAAAGAGACAAGAGGGAGGAACAGGTAATTTTTCTTGCGCAGCCTCTGTGAGGATTAGACAGTGGGATCTGTGGCAGCCACAGTATCACCATGAGGGGACAGCCCTGAAGACAAAGCCAGCCTGCTGAGGACAGAAGAGTGGCAAGATGGAGAGACCTGGGCCTACCATGACACTGTCAAGCACTAAATCACCCAAACCCAGGACCAGGCCACCTCTAGCCTTGTTACAGGAAACTTGGGTGCTGCTGTAGAAGGGTTAAGTATGCATGCTCTGGAACCTAAATAACTGCCTGGTAAGTGGCTCCACTTTCTAGCTCTGCCTTCTTGGCCAAACTCCTAACCTCTGTTCCTCAACCTACAGACGTGGGACTAATAATAGCACTCACCTCATAGAAATGTCATAAGGGTTAAATGAATTAATTCAGGCTTAAAACAGTGGCTGGGTCAAAAGTGCTAAGTAAATGTGACCCAAGATGACCATGTGTCAGACATATGCTAGATAATCTACAAAGACCATCTCATGAAAAGCAACCACACAGCAGGCCTCATCACCATCCCGGTTTACAAGAGGAAAGAGAAGACGTGGAGCTTAGATCTGAACAATGTCCATTTGCTTCCTACCTCAACTCCACAACCTGGCAAGCAGTGTGCAAACTCCACTATGATTAATTTATAACATTGCATCCAAAGGGGAAAGACTCTCAGGCTGTATTAGGGACTTAGAGAAAGATCCTTAAAGACAGTTTAGTTCAGTGGTTTTTGAAGTGTGGTCCCCTGGAACAGCAGCATCAGCAACACTCAGGGACTTGTCAGAAATGCAGTTTTGTTTTTTGGGTTATTTTTGAGACAGAGTCTCGTTCTGTCACCCAGGCTAGAGTGCAGTGGCACAGTCTTGGCTCACTGCAACCTCCGACTCCCATGTTCAAGTGATTCTCGTGCCTCAGCTTCCCAAGTAGCTAGGATTACAGGCATGAACCACCACACCTGGCAACTTTTTGTTTTTTTACTAGAGACGGGGTTTCAACATGTTGGCCAGGCTGGTCTTGAACTTCTGACCTCAAGTGATCCACCTGCCTTGGCTTCCCAAAGTGCTGGGATTACAGGCGTGAGCCACTGTGCTTGGCAGAAATGCACGCTTTTGAGCCCCACCTAAATCTGTGTTGTGAGAAGTCCTCCAGGCTATTCTGATGTACAATGCAGTTTGAGGACCACTGGTCTAATTCAACTCCCCAACTTTTCAGATGCGGAAAAAAGAAACCCAGAGAGACACAATGACTGGGTGAGCTAGGATTACTGGATTACTGGTTTCCTGAGAGCCATTCAGTGTTCTGTCTCCTACAGAGCAATCAGATCTTGGGATATGGTAGGCAGAATCCCAAGAACCTGTGATCTTATATATACAAAATCAACTTTGTGGATGAGATTAAGTCAAGGACCTTGAGATGGGAAGAATATGCTAGGTTATCCAGGTGGGCCCAATCTAATCACACAGGCCCATAAAAGCAAACGATTCCCCCCCAGAGGGAGTTACAGTTGTCAGCTTCAGGGAGACCTGATGATTTGCCAGCAGGGTCATAGGTGCAATGCTGCTGGCCTGGAAGATGGGAGAAGGGACAGGGCGGCAGCTGCAGAATTTTTAAAAGGCAAGGAAGCATGTTCTCCCCTAAGACTCTGGACTTTTCCAAAGCCCAGCCCACACCTCAATTCCAGCCCAGTAAGACACCTGTGTTGGACTTTGAACCTACAGAACTGTAAGCAGAACTGTATTAACAAGTTTGTGGTAAGGTGTTATGACAATGATAGAAAACTAATACACGGGGATTTCCCAAGACTCTCAAGTGATTGTTCATTTTCCTTTTAGGTTCTTTTTTTTTTTTTTTGATGGAGTTTCGCTCTTGTCGCTCTGGAGTGCAATGGCATGATCTCGGCTCACCGCAACCTCCACCTCCCGGGTTCAAGCGATTCCCCTGCCTCAGCCTCCCGAGTAGATGGGATTACAGGCACCTGCCACCACGCCCAGCTAATCTTTGTATTTTTAGTAGAGATGAGGTTTCACCATGTTGGCCAGGCTAGTCTTGAACTCCTGATCTCAGGTGATCTGCCCACCTCAGCCTCTCAAAGTGCTGGGATTACAGGCATCAGCCACCGCACCTGGCCTTAGGTTCTTTAATGCAACAGATTTCTCCCTCAATTTGCCTAGTGAAACCTACAATTTCACTAGGCAAATTGTGACATCAGGAGATCAATAAAGAAGGAACTCTGGGTCTGTCTTCGACATCTGTTTTTCTTGTAGAAGAAACAAGAGGCTAAAGCAAAGTGACCTGCTAAAGATCACATAGCTAGTAAGAGAACTTAGAACTTTACCTCTTTTTCTTCTGAACCCCAAGTTCAACTTTCTTCATACCATACCATGACGCCTGTTAGCCCCCTTCATTCACTCAACTATCCAACATTTGAAAAGTACTTTCTAGGTGCCAGGTGCCAAAGATAGAATATAAATACTTATCTATAGTATCTTCCATGTGTAAGGTTTTCCCTTCTACCCAAAAATCAATACCCAGGCCAGTACAATTTCTAATTAAATTTTTATTCTATACTTTTTACCTGGAGTAGCTATTTGCATTATCATCCTCCTATGCTACAAATAATATATTAAAGTCACTGCACAGCTAAATGTCCTTTGTTTTTGACCACAGTGTTACTACATTCACTCCAAGCAGAGGTAAGTCCATACAATACTGCTCCCCAGGAAGAATGAGACACATTGGGGGCTCCAAGCATGATTTCTAAATTAAGACACATTTTAAAAATAAGGAATGGCCCAAACTTCAAAATCTTTTAATAGTAAATTTTTTATTATGGAAGGGAATAAAAACTATTTTTAAAGAACTCTAATAAGAACCTCACATTTTTTGATACTCTAAACTTGGGAAATAAATTATAAAAGGTATTATTAGTTTTGGGACATGTTTTAACGGAAAGTGGCCCAGATACAGAGCTTGAACCTTTCACCAGACTTTGTCACTGTCTCAGAGGCAGGGCTCGCTGACTTGAGGTAGCAAACTGCAAGGACTGAGTCAACTAGCGTTGTTTAATCCTTATCTGAGGGAAGCTTTAAGGGAGCCTTCTCCAAGCCTGATGCCTGCTCATTCACAGAAAGGCTCTTTCTTATGAGATATAACAGCAACCTGAATCATCATCCTGTTTAATTAGCATCTCAGAGCAGCCTCAGAACACCAAAGCAACTGGGTCACAGTAGTATTATAGCACACTGATGACAACTGGTTTTGTTCAAGCCTTGCAGATTACCCTCCACTACTGTGCCTAAGACGGCTCTTATCCAGCATGGCACACACTTCTGCTCATGCTCACAATATTTACTTACTCATGTTTGTCCATCTCCCCTAAACTGTGAGACTTGTTCTTGCACCCCCCAAGGACTGGCACACCATAGGCACTGTAAATGTGGGCTGATGGAATGAATGCAATGTCTGACAAACTTGAGAGCCTGAAGACAACTAATGAGGATACTCTTCAATGAGTTACAAAACTGATGCTGGTGGAGCTTGGAGAATGTGGAACAAGGTATGTGTTCATTTTTGGCCACCAGCAAAAAGTTTTTTGTCCTTTTAATTATGCCTCCTACATCTAGGATGGAAGCCGCTGTCCTCCCAGCTATCAATGCCAACTACGTGGCAGCTAGATGGGCTACATACAAGGAGCTACCCTTCAAGGCCCTGTGAGCATTTCTTTGATGCAACTCTGCATCCTATCAAGCTTCTTAAAGACTACTTCAAAGTGTTAGCCAAAGCAATACATACATAGCCCTAGGTGTTTTGGTCCTTACTTCCTTAGAGCTAGACGATCTCCTTACGTTTCTTCATGAAAAGCTCATGAGACTGGCTGGAGAACCTTTAACTTGCCATTAACACAAAGACTGAGGGAATGGGCTCTGGCACCAGCCTCTGGGACCTGCACCACGGCCCAGTACCACCAAGGCTTCCCAGTCAACCTCAGAGGGACAGAGACTTGTCCAGTTCTTCTCAGGTCCATTTACTCAGTGCTACTCAAGTTATGGTACATGGATTTAGAATCTGCACTTATGTCCTACAGCTGCTCCGGCAAAAGTGCCAGTTTCAGAAACTGAATCCATTAAATACACACTTAATCAATTATGATGTCAGTATGAAACATCAGCCAGCCACTCACTGGCTAAGGGCTAATTGTGTGTACTTAAGACAAAAGTTCCAGGCTTGACTAGCTTTTTAGAATAAATGTGGTTGGTCTAATGTGCATACTGTCCAGGTATGATGCAGCACAGGGCTACTGGAGAAAAAAACTGAGGGTGTCAGCACACGTGTGAAAGCCAAAAGTCACCAGGTCAATTTTATCATCTGTAAAATGGGGATAACAGTATTTGCTTTGCCTTCTGCCTAAAGCTGCTGTGTAAAATAACCATAAAAGTGTTTTACAAACTAGAAAGTTATGTAATTATTAGAACTTTTAAATAAAAATTACATAAAACATACATTCATCTCTGTCATACTTTGGCAATTACTGATATCAAAATCAGATATAATACAAAGTACAGTCTATTAAATTAAGACAAACAGTTTAAAGTTAATTTTTTGTTAAGTAATTTCTCTCCTACAATCTGCCTTAAACAAGCAGACCCTGCATGGGTCTGGACACCTGCTGCTGGTCGTTTTTTTGGTAAGTCTAGCTGCTGTATGTTTCAGTAATGTTTCATCTCCGACGGTGTGGAAGGTCAGTTCTTGGCCAAGTCTCTGGACACTTCACTTCTTAGCTACTATTTACTATTACTTTCATTGTATCTCCCCTCTCAATTCTCCTATCTGGGACCAATACAAACTAAAACTATTTTTAAAGCTTTCTAAAGCATTTTGCATTACAAGAAAAGATGTTAAATAAATGGGGACTAATAATGACACACAACTGCATACAAATTAAATTCTAGCAGGATTTCGAAAGCATTGAAAACTGCCCCAAAATGGCATATTGAGCACAACTAGAATGAGAAAAACCGCCTCACAGGCTTGCCTGTTGTACTCTACAGACAGTGCCCTCTGTTATGTGGAGAGCAGACCTGGAAACCAATGACTCCTTTGCTGCCTGCATCAGAGTCACCTGCCAGGTGCTCCTAGCCATACTTCTCCAAACCTGTCCCTACTCACATTAATCTAGAATAATCTGCTGTGGCTGATTCTGGACCCTCTGCTGCCATGTGGATCTTAGGTCCAACAGATGGTACTATTCCTTACAACACACTTAGGGCCCAATAGTTCATCTTCTCTGCCTCCTGGGACCCAGTCATCTGCTTCCCTCCAATACAAGCCCATGAAAACACTCACACAAACTTTCTTTAATCTGATCATCTTTCAAGCATAATTTGAAATAAAATTATATATTTAGATCACCATTCTCCTCCCATAAAAGCCCCAATCAAAACATGGCTCTGCTACAGATCCTGACAAGTATTTGTTTCTTTGGGAAAACCTTTCAAGTCAAATTATAAACCTGTAATAAGTGTCTCTGTGGCTGAGTGGTGGTTGGGTGGTAGCTGGCCCCAGAAGTGGTACAAAACGCACAGAAAGCCTGACCCAGGTCCAAATCTCTTGAGTGTGGCCGTTTTGGCGGCATCTAACAGCTACATCCTTGGATTCTGTTTTGATCCACAAAGAAAGCCCGTTCCCTTATTTCCCTTCCGATGTCTTTGTGCCCATAAGGTGGGACCAGCCTGTCTGCAGTTTATAGTAAAGTTATGATGTTTTCCATCAGGTTAGAAAGGTTGGGATTAAAGGACTTTTCTCCTTCATTAAGAATGTCCTTCTTTGTCTTTCTGTACTTCATCTACCAAACAGAGGATGTCAGAAATTAGCCACAATCTTGAGCAGATAAAGAACATATTCAGAATACACACAGCTTTATACAATGGACTTACTCATTTTAACACTGAGCAAACAAATAATGAGAAGTTAGTAGGTCTAAGACGCAGCTGGGGAAGGAGGTCTTTTCTCCAGAAGATTCTGTCACATACCTCTTTTTATGCCATTGTTGCTTTAAAAAATCCAGATTCTCAGGCCGGGCATGGTGGCTCACGCCTGTAATTCCAGCACTTTGTGAGGCCGAGGCAGGCGGATCACCTGAGGTCACGAGTTTGAGACCAGGCTGGCCAACACAGTGAAACCCTGTCTCTACTAAAAATACAAAAATTAGCTGGGTGTGGTGGTGCATGGCTGTAATCCCAGCTACTCGGGAGGCTGAGGCAGGAGAATCGTTTGAACCTGGGAGGTGGAGGTTGCAGTGAGCGAGATCATGCCATTGTACTCCAGCCTGGGCAACAAGAGTGAAACTCCGTCTCAAAAAAAAAAAAAAAAAAAAAAAAAAATCCAGATTCTCACCCGTGAGCTGTGTTATGAGGAAGGGACCTCTGCAATAATGTGAAGGTAACCCTTGGCTAACGAAAGTAAAAACACCAGACCCATGCTTCTTCAGAATCATAAAGTGTAAGTTATTCTACTGAATGTGAAGAAGGCAGTTTGACTTCCTAACGAGCTGTTCTCTGGGACTTTTAATTTGCCTTATTAATGTGTCAATCCTGATTCCACAGCATAAAACTGCATGTCCAGAAAGTAGAAACATGGGTTGGATGAAAATTAATAAGAACTTGATCAGGCTGGTCTTTCCCCTTGACATGCAGGTTTCTCTAAAGGTTGTAAGACACTGTGTGATCAAGGTGCCTTTTATTCTCAGGGCTCTTTTCTTTGATATTTAAGTTCCCTTAGGAGTTGATGGTATCGACTTCAGAAGTATAATAATCTTTTCTTTTTATTCATTCTACAAATTTTTATTGCATGCCTGTGTGCAGGGGCTGAAATGGGGAGCCAAAAGTTCACCTAGTGTCTACCCTCCAGGAGCTCACAGAATGATCTGGGGGTAAAGCAAAATTTAAACAGTGATGTAAACAGTACTTCAGAGCGCAGACTTAATGCCACCAACCTAGTTAAGGAAGTCAGGAAAGCATTCTTGAGGGAGTGTAGCTTGACCTGAGTCATAAAGAGTGAGTAAGAGCTACCTGGGGGGAAGGGGAACAAACTGCTTTGTGGAGGGACAAGCAGGCAGGGTGTAGGGAACCAACACAGTGGAGCACAACTCTGAGAGGGTGGGAAGCTGATATGCAGGAACCCAGGGCCAACAATGGCTGTTGCTGGGTTAGGGATGATATGGAAGAGTTTGGGTACTGGTGGTGGAAATGCATACAAGAGGCAGCATAGACTTCGAAGGTAAAACCGACAGGACTTGATGCTGACACATGGCCAGGGGGTCTGTGAGATGTGTTGCAGTGAGCCTGAGTGTGTGGCAGTGTAAATCAGCACAGTGGACAGGGAGCCCTCTGGATGCCAGCACAGCAGGATTCTGATGAGGTGAGCACACACGTGGCACCTGCTCTAAATGCTACTTTCTCCTAGAAAGATTCCATTTACAGAAGAGAATGTTTTGGACTGAGAGCAAAATCTCAACTGGTCAGGAATGGGTTTAATTCCAAATGACATTTTATGGGTAACTACGAGAAACCTTTTATAGAACACAGGCTATCTTCCTGCTTTAGTAAATAGCTCAGGGTTTTGAGTAAACTGATTGTTTTCCGTTGTCTTAGAGTTATGATTCTGTATTAAGAGTATTCTTGTAAGACACGAGGAAGAGACTAGGCTTTATCAAAGTGATCCCAGGACATAGCCTAAAACTTGCTTTTTAAAATAAATCCCTGCTAGCAAGCTTTTTTTCCGTATCATTTTACTTCTCCTAAAGTAGAGGACAACAACGACAAATCTAGTCAAAGAAACTGTTCCAGTTAGTTTAACTGACAATTCCTCTGTGTACCTTCCTTATATTCAGATATTCCTTATCAGAAATCTTTTTTGATTTTTACCTCAAATTTAGGCAGTCTAAAAACAAAGACAAGAAATAAGGAAAAGAGAGAAAGCTGGGGCGGAGAGGAAGTTCTCGGAGTTTTTCACTGGAGCGGAGCTGTCCACTGAAGCTGCTGATCTGGAATAGCAGCAGGGCTAAAAGAAACTTATACTTGGCCCTGTCTCTCACTGGTACAGGAGCCTAGGCAAGTTAATTTAAGTCTTGATTTTCTCAACAATACATTGGGGATAATACCCAG
This sequence comes from Homo sapiens, assembly GCF_000001405.40. Classification (NCBI taxonomy): domain Eukaryota; kingdom Metazoa; phylum Chordata; class Mammalia; order Primates; family Hominidae; genus Homo; species Homo sapiens. The sequence continues at coordinate 111,094 of NW_014040931.1, forward strand.
TTGGGAAAAAAGGGCACGGTGGGGGTATCTTCTGCTACTTAAAGACACTGATCAGGGCAAAATAACCTGAACAGGGCCAAGTAAGGTGGCCCATGTCTGTTATCCCAGCACTTTGGGAGGTTGAGGTGGGAGGACTGCCTGAGGCCAGGAGTTCAAGATTAGCCTGGGCAACAAAGAAAGGCCCTGTCTCTACAAAAAATAAAATTAAATTTGCTGGGTGTGTTGGCACTCCCTGTAGTCCCAGCTATTCAGGAGGCTGAGGCAGGAGGACTGCTCAAGCCCATGAGGTCAAGGCTGCAGCCAACTATGATCACACCACTGCATTCCAGCCTGGATGACAGGGCAAGACCTTGACTGACACACACACACACACACACCCTGCACATACTTCCCAGGAAGTACCAGCACTGATCCCTAGTCATTTTGTTACTCTCTAGTCCCATGTGGAATGGATGGTCCCTTGAAACTACAAAGGCCGTCTGTGCTTGTCTGCAAGGCTATGGGCAGCAGCACAGACATCCAGGAGGAGTTAAAGCTAACAATCTACTATTGCTACTAAACCAAACCCAGCTATGCTGCCACACAAAGGGGTTCCTTTTGTCTATTTAGAGCGTATTTTACAGGTCAGACACAGTATTTAACCACTTATTCCCCACCCTCAGCTATCTGCTTTACTATGTACACTTTATTGATGTTTAAGTAACATGTGAAAATATGGCAGGTGATACTAATAATTTCTACCAAGGTGCCCACAAAAAAGAAAGTTCGTAATTATCACACATGGTATGAACTTCAACTGCAGATATGGTAGGCAGATATCAGCCACTTGCTGTGGGTTTTTAATGTTCTGTAACACTGTAACTCTAATTATCCTGGGTTTACAGCCTTCAGGTTCTGCATTAATAAATTTATGGAGGCAAAACAAAGGAGGAACAAAAAACAATTTCCCAAATAAAATACATCCATTTGCCTCAATTTAAGTTAAATCCAATCTATGTCCCCCTTCTGGAAAATTAAAGCATTACTCAAGAAGGCCTGGTTTAGTAATTTTTCTCTTGCACAAAATGTATACGTAGTTTGTTATAATGTTAATATGAAGTCTCATAACTCAGAAGGCCAACACAGGTGTCACTAATGATGTTTCTTTGTGCTAACCAAACTTGCCTTTTTTTCTGAAACACAGTTTGCATTTTATTATTATTTTTTAGATGGAGTCTCACTCTGTTGCCCAGGCTGGAGTACAGTGACGAGATCTTGGCTCACTGAAACCTCTACCTCCCGGGTTCAAGTGATGCTCCTGCCTTAGCCTCTAAAGTAGCTGGATTACAGGCACCCACCATCACGTCCAGCTAACTTTTGTATTTTTAGTAGAGACGGGGTTTCACCATATTGGCCAGGCTGGTCTCGAACTCCTGACCTAAGGTGATCCACCCTCCTCGGCCTCCCAAAGTGCGGGGATTACAGGCATGAGCCACTGCACCCAGCCTGCATTTTATCTTATCTACAGTTATATATACTCCATTAAAATAATCCTAATCAGAGGGTTTCTTTTATAGCCCCAAAAGAAAATTGCCACTGTGCTGAAAACCTTATATATTTTGTCTAACGGAGTTTTTCCTATGTTAAAAGGAGCTTGTGCCCTTTAAGAAATTAGAAAGGAAGGGCACAGAGTGCTAGAGTCCAGGACTAGGTATAAGCCATTGATTAGCACTTTTCCTCTGAATAAAAGCAGAGAACCTGAGAAAAGGCTGAACCCAGCAGGAGTAGGAGACCTGCGGCAGCCCTGTGATGAAGAAAGAGAAGAGCTTTTTCTCAAGTACAGGGAGAGAAATACTTACATAGTTTGAAACACTGAAATTGAAGTTGCACAAGGTCTTGCACTAGCTTATTTTTATTTTACCCTTTGCTCAAACAGTGGATTAGCTTATAAAGAGAAATGATTACATTTTGTGCTTTCTGAATCTAAAAAGGCATCTTTTTAAAGAAATTACACTCCAGGGAAGTGACTCTTGGTGTAAGCTGCTTCTCTCCATGGCTCATCCTACCCAGGAGTTGGGTCTGTGCTTCCAGAAAGCCAATTACTGGAAGCTGCTTATTCACAAGGCACCCATACTGAAATGTTTACAGTTTCAGTGCAGAAACGACAAACCTGCTGCCACAATAGGACTCCCTTAACAAGATTTCAAATCTGTGAAGATCATACTGAAGCGGAAATCTCCAAAGCTGTTCCAAACACTTGGCTCTGGAGGTCTTTCTCATTTTTACTCCTTTCTTCCTACTTGCATTCATATTACCTTCCTCTTTCGCACCCGGAGCCACTGCCATCTCACCAACGCTCTCGCCTGTCCATCTTCTCAAACAGGTTGAGGTATTGTCAGGCAAAGCCACCCTATTCCTGGAAGTGGCAAGTTTTTCAAAGGCAGGGGCAGCCTGACAGGACAGACACTGGAGGCTCAGGAAATAGCAGAGTCCCAGCAGAAAGGAACTTTCAAAAACGAGGATATCTTGATATACTGAAGCTAATGCCAATGAAACTACCACAGGATCACTGGTCCTCAAATCCTAAGCCAGCCCCTGCCACCTCTCAGCCAAGCTTCAGTGGGGTCATTTAATTTGGCAACAACATGAGACATAGTCTCACATCTCATTTCAGGTCACTCCCACAGGTCATGCTCAAACCGGGGCCTTTTCTTCCTGGAAACCTACTGGAAGGAAAAACTACGTCCACACTAGAATGGAAACTTTGGCACCCAAATCTGTGACTAGCTTATGAACCTTCAGTTTTCAGAATTGATTTTTGCATTTCTCAAAGGGTAACTCTGCCACCTGCACCAGCATGGTCCTAAGCTTGAGTTAAAAAACACAGACTGAGGACACTGTCCCAGAAGAGACTGAATGGGAAGCATCCCAGGTTCTTATCCTCAAGAAAGTTTTAGAACTATTGGTTCAATTCATCTTCATAGATATGGAAATTTTCTTCTACATTTCTGTTTCAGAAGATTCCTACCAGATTAGGAAGATACTCAGCAAGAGTACAATCCTCATTTCAACAGAAAAGGAAAAAGGAAAAAAAGAAAAGGAAACTCCAAGAGTCTCCATGAAGAAAATAGAGATCTGGAAGTAATATAACCAAGTTTAGAAATCCTGCATAATTCCTCAATACATCTCCTCCTCCTCCACCTACACTTTTTTTTTTTTTTGAGATAGGGTCTCGCTCTGTCACTCATTCATCAAGCCAAAGAGTTTGAGGTTGCAGTGAGCTTTGATTGTGCCACTGTACTCATAGTGGAACAATCAGAGCTCACTGCAACCTCAAATTCCTGGGCTAGAGGAATCCTCTTGCCTCTACTTCCTTAGTAGCTGGGACCACAGGTGCATACCACTGCACTTGGCTGATTTATTTTTTGTAGAGATGGCATCTCACTTTGTTGCCCAAGCTGGTCTCAAACTCCTGGGCTTAGGCAATCCTCCTACCTCAGCCTCCTGAAGTGATGGGATTACAGATGTGAGCCACCATGCCCAGGCCCAAGATTTAAGTGTCTATTGTTAGGACAGATTTCATTTATCCAACACCTTGACAAGGCAGTCCAGTTATTAACTCCATTTTACAGGTTAAGAAATTCAGCTTAGGGGCTAAGTGATGTTATAGTTTCCCAAGAAGCCAACTCCTACAGATGTCTGGATGAAGGATAAAATATGACCTAAAAGATTCTATAATTATGACTCTTTGCCAACAAAGACCGTCCAGTAAATTCAAGAGCCTCTGTGCTCTCCTTTGGGCCTTGTCTCTGGGCAGTGTGGTGGTCGTATAATAAAAGGTGGTTCTATCACATGACTTTTCTTTCAAGAGTGAGATTAGAAAAAAGCAACAAGTAGAGGATGGGACTGGTCAGATTATTGAAATTGTCTGAAAATACACCAATGACTAAGGGATTTCAGAGTTCCCAAGTCAAATTAAGGAGCTAAAGGCAACAACTGGGTGTTTGCTGGTGGTTTCAGAGCTCCTTGGGGGTCCGTGGGAAAAGTGAGTCTTTATGTGGCTGGATCATTTCCTGGGGTTCTCTACAGCTAATTTGGAAGATCTTAAACAGAGAATCTTCTGGAGCTGAGCAACAAGATTTTTTGTTGGCATATTCACCTTAAATGGAGCTTTTTTCCAAAGGTGGGAAGGGATGAGGTAGGTCTGAGAGAACAGAATGCTGGGTCAGCAAGTTAGTGAGATTCCATTATTGGGAGATGATTTGCTTCAATGAAGAACGGTTTCTGTGGCACTGCTAAAACCCTCGCCCTGCCAGGAGGCGAAACTAAAACATTAGTAGTTGATACAGATACTATCAACAACCCCGGCCGCCTTGCACAATGTTCCTCAGGTCTCTACCAGGGATGCTTAACGCTTATCCCTGTCCTGATGTACCCTAGTGAAGGAACAAGTTGTCACTTGGCCCACAGTGAGAGGGCTAAATACTAATGACTCTGCTTCTGCCTGGGAGAGTGTGGGGTGGGGGCGGGGGTAGCGGTAGATGGTGTTACTGAGAAAGCCAGGCAAAGTGGTTGTTCAGAGCAGAGAACTAAGAGAGTGCTCTTGGTGGACTGTGAGTTTCACAGGGCATGGTGGAGGAGACTGGCAAAGCAGCAGAGTGTGGTTCTTGACATGTGCCTATTTCCCCTGCCACTCACGCTTCAAACCCCCCAAGTCACTCTAGTAGTGGCAGGTCCAAGTGCCACATGGGGAGGGCAGGCCTCTGAGGCCTTACTGACTCAGCCCTCCCTTTGGCCGAGTTAGGTGTAGCTTCTCCACACTTACACAGACCTCACAGTATCCATAGACCATGCCTCCCAGCACTTACACAAGTGCTCACTGAACATAAGGTGGGGCTGCTTTTACCTGCTAAAAACTATCCACTGGAAATTCCTTCATTCTGAAATGGTCATTGTGCATTTCAATGTCTAGGAGGCATCTCAGACTTAACATGAACAAAATACAACTCCTGAATCCCCACCAAACCTGTTCTCTTGGGAGACCCTGGAGGAAGAACAGGTTTGGTGGTGATTCAGGAGTTGTGTTTTTCAACATTCAGGTGGCACTACATTCACCCAGTGGCAACTCACATTTTTGTCCCCAGAGACATACACTGAAACTCATGAACAACAAAGCCTCATACAGATGCCCTCTATAATGAAGGCAAAACCTGTTCCTCTGCCTTACAAAGAACCACAAGGACAAGAAATTAAGAATGCTGCTGGTCATCCATCTCTCATCATTTTTTTCCCCAAAACTATAACAGGAAAACAAAAATCAGTCTCACTACCAAAACACATTTTAACATCTCCTTAAATTTTTATACGTAGATTAAAATTCTGACCAGCATATTCACAAATTATTTCCAATATTACATACTTTTTTTTTTTTTTTTTGAGATGGAGTTTCGCTCTTGTCACCCAGGCTGGAGTGCAATGGCGCGATCTCAGCTCACTGCAACCTCCACCTCCCGGTTCAAGCGATTCTCCCGCCTCAGCCTCCCCAGCAGTTGGGATTACAGGTGCCCACCACCATGCCCAGCTAACTTCTGTATTTTTAGTAGAGATGGGGTTTCCCCACGTTGGCCAGGCTAGTCTCAAACTCCTGACCTCAGGTGGTCCGCCTGCCTCGGCCTCCCACAGTGCCAGGATTACAGGTGTGAGCCACCATGCCCAGCTCAATATTACATACTTTTAAACATACATATTTAAATGGCATCCAAAGGCCCACCTCTTCCCACTGGAGGTTACATTGCTTCTACGTGTCTCTTAAAGAACCTGTCAGTCACAAATTTACCCTGCACTGATCACCCCCCATGCCAGGCATTAGGGTGGGCTCTGGGGCCAACTCAGCCCTTGGGGAGCCTATCTGGTGAGGACGACAATCAGATAAGCTGGTAGTCACCCCAAGAGCAGCTCCAGCTTAGCTGGGCATTTGCATAAGTGCTGGGAGGCATAGGCTCTGAATACTGTTGGGTCTGTGTAACCTGCAAAGGGAAGGCTGAGTCAGTAAGGTCTCAGAGGTCTGTCCTACCCTCAGTGAGGAGGCACTCAGACCTGCCACTATTGGAGTGACTTGGGGGATTTGACCCATGGGTGCTAAGTGGTGTAACAGGTAAAATGGGAGTGCAGCTGGGCAGCACTTGCTGCCTGGGGAATGAGGTGACAGGTGAGCTGGTTTTAAATCGATGTGCTTTTCACAAATAATAGTGGATTAAAATGCCCAGGCCTGCTCTCTGAAGAGGAGGGAGACACAAAGTCTTATATCAGCAAACAAATACATTTCATTTTTGAGGGGTTGCCCTTTCAAAGCATTAGTATATTTTTATTACTTCAATAAAGAACCCTACCTAGAAACAAGCAAACAGAATAATTTGGGAACTGTCCTATCACTTATCCTAATGAATTACACTATTATCCTAGCAACCAGCTTTGTATGAAAAAACAAAAATAACTTTCAAGCAAACCAGAGGCCTTCACCTGACATGTGTCTGAACTAAGATTTAAGGTTCACAATCACAGCTTTCAAAGTCTGGAACCACATGGCACCCCTAGGGAGCCAGCCACAATGAATAGGCCTGAGACTTGTTAGATGAATATACATTTTACTAGAAACTTCCACTAGCTGCTCCGTGAGAAACACATAACAGAGATGAAATGCCTCCACCGCTGAACAATGTCAGGGCACCCAGGTCCCACTGGTGGTGCTAGTCCATCAGAAGGGACTAGCACCACTTCAGATTTGAGTTCGGCTGGAAATTTGTTATTCTGTTGACCCTGGTATTGTCTATCTGCCTGTGTAGCAGTTCTTCAATTCTATTTTCATAAGGCACGTTAACTGACAGCAGTATGCTGCCAACATCTTCAAATTAAGTGTCAGCTCTTAAGTGCATACAACCAAAATCACTCCACTATTACCAGGTTTACGTGGACAGCATCAGATAGGGCTGAATTTTCTCTTCAGTTTAATTTCCACCAATAAGTTTAGAGACAGGAGGGTTATCTTTACTAAACCAACACATGAGGACACAATTCTAAGGCTGATGCTAGGTAGCTCATAATATTTGCTTCCTTTAAAACCACATCAACTCAAAAGCTTCCAGGAATAGTTTAGCCTCCACCAAGGAGGCTACTTGATTTCCAGCAAAGTTAGTTTTATCCTTTACAGTCCTCTATCATCATCTAATTTACAGATGAGAAACTTTTTTTTTTTTTTTTTTGAGATGGAGTCTCGCTGTGTCGCCCAGGCTGGAGGGCAGTGGCGCGATCTCGGCTCACTGCAAGCTCCGCCTCCCGGGTTCATGCCATTCTCCTGCCTCAGCCTCCAGAGTAGCTGGGACTACAGGTGCCCGCCACCACGCCCGGCTAATTTTTTGTATTTTTAGTAGAGACAGGGTTTCACCGTGTTAGCCAGGATGGTCTCGATCTCCTGACCTTGTGATCCGCCCGTCTCGGCCTGCCAAAGTGCTGGGATTACAGGCGTGAGCCACCGTGCCCGGCTGGGATGAGAAACTTTTTAAGAGCTCTACTAATGCCTAATTTAGGGGCACCCCTGAAGAAAGGAGTTCCATACATCTCAATTTTCCAGAGAAGTGATTCAGGCTATGAGAAATAGGTACAGAAAAACAAATTGAGAATAATAAAATTCCAAATTAACAATTAATGGACATTAAACACAAAATTAACAGGGAACAACATTAATATCACTAATAAAATAAATGAAAAGGAACTAAAAGTTTAAAAAGAAGGTCCAATGCCACTGAGGTAGCAGTAAACAGGCTCACCTGTCCTCATGGATGCTCATGCCTTGTTATGACCCTTTGTTGATTAAACCACAAGACAATGCCTATCAAAAACCATAACAATGTTGGCCCTTCTTGACCTAGCAGTTCAACAGCCATAAATTTTTCTTTAAATCGAAAAATAAAAATGCTTATTGCTCCATAGAAAGTAGTAAATTAACTGGAAACCACCTCAATAAAAGTGCGGTACTTGAATAAATTACATTATACTCACGCTAAACTAAGAAAAAAGAAATCACAGATTAGAATGAAAATTAAAATTACAAAATAAAGTAAAAAAAGCAACACAGACTTGTATCTACACTGTGATGATGGAGACTCACAAGGTTTGAATCCTGGGCAAGCTCCTCTCTGGACCTCAAATCTCACCTGGAGTGTGATGAGACCCACCAGAAAGGGTTGGTTTGAGGTCTAAATGTGGTAATTCACGTATAGTGCTTAGAAAGCATTCAGTACATGTTAGCAGTCATTACAGTCATTCCTGGCATCCATGGAGGACTGGTTCCAGGACCTCTGCCAATACCAAACTCCACGGATGCCCAAGTCGCTTATATAAAATAGCACAGTATTTGTATATAAGCTAAGCACATCCTCCTGTATACTTTAAGCCATCTCTAGATTATGTATGATACCTAATATGATGTAGCTAATGCTATGCAAAGTTGTTATACTTTCTCATTTAGAGAATAATGACAAGAAGAAAAAAGTCTGTATATATTCAGAACAGATGGAATTTTTCCAAGTTTTTTTTTTTTTTTTGAGACAGTCTCGCTGTGTCGCCCAGGCTGGAGTGCAGTGGCGTGATCTTGGCTCACTGCAAGCTCCGCCTCCTGGGTTCACGCCATTCTCCTGCCTCAGCCTCCCGAGTAGCTGGGACTACAGGCGCCCGCCACCACGTCCAGCTAATTTTTTTTGTATTTTTAGTAGAGACAGGGTTTCACTGTGTTGGCCAGGCTGGTCTTGAACTCCTGACCTCAGGTGATCTGCCCACCTTGGCCTCCCAAGGTTCTGGGATTACAGGCGTGAGCCACTGCGCCCTGCCCCCTCCAAATATTTCCAATCTGCTGTTGATTGAATCTAAGAATGCAGAACCCATGAATATGGGAAGCTAACTGTATTATACTATTATATCTAGTGAAATAATCAGCACATGGACAAAATCTAGAAGAGTCAGATATGTTGGGTTATCAGGATTGCGGCATTCTTCTACGAACAGTTCCATTAGTTTTACAATAAGAATAATACTGTTATCTTTATGTAAATAATATGTAAATCTTTTTCATGACTCAGGAGTTCAAATGGGAACCCTGACCAGCACAGATGGTGCCAGCACCTCATCTAAACCCTGTGGCCAATTTTTCTTTTCTTCTGCCTTTTCCCATGTTTCTTGCTCCTTCCTATGGGCAGAGCGACGATTCCCACTTCAGAGCCCATTTCACCATAGAGTCATGTGGTAGCACTTTGCCTAGCCTCAATTCAGTGCATAAAGGCACGAGGCTGCATTCTGAAACTGAGGAAATAGGGTACAACTGTGCACAACAGAGAGGTTTTCTTCAGGCCCATAAAAATGTTTGACATGTGCTCTTTCTCAGTGTAATTAAATACAGTCTTGGTTTTTCACCACATTGTCAGTATCTTGGGAAAATTATTTTAAAAGTCTAAACAGGCCAGGTGTGGTGGCTCAGGCCTGTAATCCCGACACTTTGGGAGGCCAAGGCAAGTGGATCACCTGAGGTCAGCAGTTCGAGACCAGACTGGCTAACATGGCAAAACCCCATCTCTACAAAAAAAAAAAAAAAAAAAAAAAAAAAAAAATTAGCCAGATGTGGTGACAGGAGAATCGCTTGAACCTGGGAGGCAGAGGTTGCAGTGAGCTGGGATCGCACCACTGCACTCCAGACTGGGCAAGAGTGACTCTGTCCAAAAAAAAAAAAAAGCCCAAACAGCAAGTTATCCTTTCTGTTTCCCCTTCCAATTACATTTTAGGAATAATTATGATGATAGCTTAAATTTTTTTGGTATCTTTTTGGGATTCTCTGGGTTTTTTTTTATAAACATGACACAGACCTCATGATTTCCTATTTTTCTCTCCACTTTCTTTCAATTTGGATTTAAAAATTTATCAGTTTACATCTATTTGAAAGGCTAAATAAAAAGCAAGCAGTTATTTAAAATGCTGTATTAGAATCTAGTGTTGACTTATCTAAACATGTATATTAGGCTGAACTGCCTTCATATCTAATATTTTCTTGTCTAATACATATTAAACGCAAACCTAAATTTCTTTTCTTCAACCCTTCTTTCTGTTATTGGTATGTTGATGACCCCTCACCTCGCCCACTGACTTGCTGGAGCTAGAAACCTCAACTTCATCCTTGACCTCTGCCTCCTCACTTTCCCAAACCTGCTGCATCTAGTCAGTGTTTAAAATCTATCAACTTTAGCCGGGTGTGGTGACTCACGCCTATAATCCCAGCACTTTGGGAGGCAGGTGGATCGCCTGAGGTCAGGAGTTCGAGGCCAGCCTGGCCAACATGGTCAAACCCCATCTCTACTAAAAAATACAAAAATTAGTCGGCATGGTGGCACATGCTTGTAATCCCAGCTACTTGGGAGGCTGAGGCCTGGGAGGATGTTTGAAACTGGGGGGTGGAGGTTGCAGTGAGCCGAGAACGTGCCACTGCACTCCAGCATGGGTGACAGAGCAGGACTTCGTCTCAAAAAAAAAAAAAAAAAAAAGTCTATCAACTTTGAATCCCTAAAACGTTTCTCAGATCCATCCAATCCTTCTGACTCCCGTTTCTACCACATACTCGGTCCTTACCAGCTCTTGCACAAATTAATCCCACAGCCTCTCGAATGACCTGTCTGCTTCTGATGTCTCCCTACTTATTTCCTGAGTTTCCTTTATAAAACACAAACCTGTACATGTGACTTACACGCTTAGAAATCACTAATGGTTTTGCACTGCCCGTAAATTAAAGGCTAAATCCTTCAAATACAATAGATCCCTGATATGGTTTGGATCTGTGACTTCACCAAATCTCAGGTTGAACTGTAGCACCCAATGCTGGAGGCAGGGCCTGGTGGGAGGTGGCTGGATCATGTGGGTGCTATTCCTGTGATACTGAGTTCTCACAAGACCTGGTTGTTTGAAAGTGTGCAACACCTCGCACCTCACTCTGTCTTGCTCCTGCCATGCAAGAAGCCTTCCTGCTCCCCCTCTACCTCCCTCCATGACTGTAAGTTTCCTGAGGCCTCCCCAGAAGCTGAGCAGATGCAGGCATCATGCTTCCTATACAGCTTCCAGAACTGTGAGCCAATTCAACCTCTTTTCTTCATACATCACCCAGCCTCAGGTATTTCTTTACGGACTAATACAAGCCCTCTGGAGTTCACATATTCTCAGTATATTCACTGTTTTAGGGGAGGAGGTGGAATGCTATAGGGAAGTATTTGTCCTGAATCATTCTGTGGATACACCACACAAACTCAGAATTCTTAATTATTTTGGGCCTTTTAGTGCTGACATGTTAAAAAGTTTACTTAAAAAAACAACTTTAGACCAGGCGCGGTGGCTCATGCCTGTAATCCCAACACTTCGGGAGGCTGAGGCAGACGGATCAGTTGAGGTCAGGAGTTCGAGATCAGCCTCGCCAACATGGTGAAACCCCGTCTCTACTAAAAATACAAAAATTAGCCAGGCATGGTGGCAGGTGCCTGCAACTTCAGCTACTCAGGAGGCTGAGGCAGGAGAATTGCTTGAACCTGGGAGGCGAAGGTTTCAGTGAGCCGAAATTGTGCCATTGCGGTCCAGCCTGGGGGATAGAGGAAGACTCAGTCTCAAAAAAAAAACAAAACCAAACCAAAAAAACCCAACTTTACTACCAGGCAGATTCTTTTCTTTCGCTTTAGATAATCGCTATCAAAACTTTGTCATCTCACTAGAATGTTAATGCTTTTACTTAACATGCAAGGTAGATTTTAGTCCCTCCCTTTTGCCTTCTGTCTTTTGAGAGATATAATTCCTGAGTGTGTTCGTGTTGGCTGATGCTATTTCATAAGACATAATATTAATACTGCACCTGAAATACCTCACACCCTGCCACCCTTCCCCCCGCAGCAAACTTGAGTTTCCAACAAGAGTAAAAAGGAGATAATGTTTTTATTTCCACCAAGGACAACTTTCAAAGAGATTAAGTTCTGAACACCCCTGGCAAGATGAGCTAGCTGCACTATGATGGAACTACAACATAAGCTATAGAGTACTGAGTGAGCTTGCTAACAGGAACACATCTTTACTAAGACAACAATGAGGGAGGACACCATCTGAGGGCGGTCACCAGTCTGCAGCTTGCATTTCCTCTGAAACCACCTAACTGTTGAAATGTGCCAAACACTGCTCTAAGCACTTTCCAAAGAGCAACACATTTAATCCTCCTAACATACCTCTTTACTGTAGGTGCTGTCAGTTTTCATACTTTGTATGGTAAGGACAGTGAAGCACAGAGGTTAAGTGACTTGAGCTAGTGACCTCGCAAGGAAACAACAAGTCCTGGAATTCATATGAAGCAGTGTGACTCTGGGGCTCTCACCCAGGCCTCCCCTCTACACAGCTGTTGAGGAGAACGGCAAAAGCCAGGACCTTCCGGGGCAAGTGTTTAGCTGCCTTGATTTTCTCTTCTCATACGTTTTTCCAATAAATTGGACGAATCTGATCTGCAGTAGCAAGCCTTGAGGGTCCCGCGAAATTGGCCTTGGCTTGGGGTGCGGAGGAGGAACCTCCATTTTCCTGAAACAGTATTGGATGAAGCAAGCCGTATCTTTTGGAAAAATCGAAGCCCTAGTGCAGGACCTGTGTGCGGCAAGGCATTGCTTTCTGCAGAATCACACAAACTTTCCTGCATGAAGTTCAGAAGCCTTGACATAGAGCTTCTCTAACCACACACCAGCTAAGGGGCCGAGGCTGAGGCTGAGTCACCCTGCAAGTTCCCTGACAGGAGTTTAACTTCACATTTCAACTGGTTTTCCAGTAGAGACTCAAGATATTTGTTGAATTGAAAGGGATGCCTGCTTTTACATACTATTTGCTGTTAGCTCTTTTAACAGATTAGCAATAACTAGTTTAACATCCCAGGGATGAGTAATTAACATATAATAACTTGTGTGTTGTGGCTTGTTTATCAATATTTTTGTTTATGGTCCTTTGGGATTTTTTTGAATATTTTTCTCTACTTATTTATTTTGAGACTAGGTCATTAAGACTGGCTAATTTTCGTATTTTTGGTAGAGACAGGGTTTCTCCATGTTGCCCAGGCTGGTCTCAAACTCCTGGGCTCAGGTAATCCAAAGTGCTAGGATTACAAGCATAAGCCACCTTGCCCAGCCTTGGCCAAAGAATCGTGTACTCCTTATAAATTTTACTTTAAAATCAAGTGTAATGCTCCCCACATCATCCCCCTACCTCTAGAGAGAAAAAAAAAGTCAAGAAATAAATCGTAGTAAAATTTGAGTCCTTCAATTTGTCATGATTTATTCTGTAAGGTAATATATGCAATAAAATTCAAAACTGAAAATTTCACTTGATTCCTTAGAATTTGGACGAAATCCTGAAAGAAAATGAACCTTTTCTCTGGAAATTTAGTGTCAATGTCATCATGCAGTGATATAAAAAGATATACCACACAGTGTTAAGAAAAACAGGTAAATTAGATACAAGTCTCTGCTATATACTGAAAGCCATGGGAACAGGGCGCCACCGCCTAGAGAGTGAGAAATGAAGATGGGTCCCAGCAGAAGTAACAAAAAGCAAGTGCTTGCCAGAGAGAGGGGGCTGGGAGGGAGAGGAGAATGGAGAAAGGGAGTGTGGGAATGTGAGAAAGGGCAGTTGTAGCAAGCACAGAGGAAGAACAATCAGGTAGGGGTGGGGGTGAGGTACTGGAGTTAGGAGCAGAGAACAGGAGTTGAAGGGAGCCTTCACCAGGATGGGGGCCTTGCCAGGCCCTGGAAATGACCACCTTCAAGGAACATATAGTTGAGAATTTAGAGAGCATGTAGACTGGTGGCTCTATTTTACAGTTAAACTAGAGAGCCTACCTTTCTGACTTGGCTGTTTTGATGTTTTAATATGTGATTTCATTTTCATAATGTAATCAATCTATTTTATATTTTCCAAATCATGTTTTCCATCACAATTTAAAGTAAATTTAAGAAAGATGTGAGTCTGTTAGATGGGGGAAGTAAATAATTATCCATTATTTAAACTTGTATTAAAAATAAGCCCCTAAACTGGCCAGGTGCAGTGGCTCACACCTATAATCCCAGTACTTTGGGAGGCCGAGGAGGGTGGATTCCTTAAGGTCAGGAGTTCAAGGCCAGCTTGGCCAACATCCTCAAATCCCGTCTCTACTAAAAATACAAAAATTAGCTGGGTGTGGTGGCACGCACCTGTAATTCCAGCTACTGGGGAGGCTGAGACAGGAGAATCACTTGAATACAGGAGGCGGAGGTTGCCGTGAGCCGAGATCATGCCACTGCACTCCAGCCTGGACAACAGAGTGAGACCCTGTCTCAAAAAATCAAGGAAAAAAAACCCTAAATATAATCTTTAATATATTGATTCAGAAATTTAAAGAAAATTGGCCAGGCACAGTGGCTCAGGCCTGTAATCCCAGCACTTTGGGTGGCTGAGGCAGGTGGATCACTTGAGATCAGGAGTTTGAGATCAGCCTGGCCAACATGGTGAAACCCTGTCTCTATTAAAAATACAAAAATTAGCCAGGTGTGGTGGTGCATGACTGCAGTCCCAGTTACTTGGGAGGCTGAGGCAGGAGAGTCACTTGAACCCACGAGGAGGTGGTTGCAGTGAGCCAAGATTGTGCCACTGCACTCCAGCCTGGCAACAGAGCAAGACTCATCTCAAAATAAAAATAAAAATAGAAAATAAAAATTAACCTAAAACCAGTTAACATATACTGTCAGGTAAAAAAAAAAGATTAAAAGTTTCCCAAGGGGGGTTGGAAAAATTTGGGAGGGGCACCTTCTATGAGAGGGGAACAAGCAAAGACTCCCCGACTCCCCCACTAGTAGGGCTATCCAGCCTCAAGGGATCCATGGCCACCAGATCTACCTTCTGTCACATCCCTGCACGCCTTGGCATTCCTTAATGTCTCAAAGGTGATTTGTACATACCAAGTTATATCCATACCCATTCAGAGGCAATTACCTCTGTAATATCATTCATGTCAGAGGTCATTGTGATTCTCATACACAATTATACCAAGGCAAACAGTGGTCAATGTTGGACAGAAGCAAAGGGGACTTGTGCTGAAATGAATAGATTCACAAGTCCCACACTTGTGGGAAGGGAAAAAGGAAGGGAAAAAGGAAGGGAAGTAAACACCATTTTTAAATATAGAAATGTTCTAGTTTTCGGCAATTTTCAGAGTAGTGTGACACAGGGAGAGGAGCAATGTCTCTTGAGGACTTCCCAATATTTTAATATAACATCGTGCTTGTCAAAACACCTGATAAATACATAGGCCAAAATGGATCTCTAATGAAATATATGTGACTTTATCTTACATGATAGGATTAAGGGCATGCTCATTAAGCAAGACCAAAACTGAATGCATCTATCTGCTAAAACCTAGTAAGATAAAACTAGACTCAAAGTATCCTGGACAATTGAAACATCATCTGTCAAATTAAATAAAAGGCAAGTTAGTGTAATTTTAATTTGTCCTTGAGTGCACTGAGAAAAGTAGAATAAAAGCTAGGTAAATAAAAGCTAGAAACGGATCTTATAGTGATAGTGGTACATCAGCTCAAAGAGACAACAAGCCTAACTTTTTTCTTATTTTTTTTAGAGATTGAATCCCACTCAGTCGCCCAGGCTAGAGTGCAGTGGCACCATCTTGGCTCACTGCAACCTCCGTCTCCTAGGCTCAAGCCATTCTCCTGCCTCAGCCTCCCGAGTAGCTGGGATTAC
This sequence comes from Homo sapiens, assembly GCF_000001405.40. Lineage (NCBI taxonomy): Eukaryota > Metazoa > Chordata > Mammalia > Primates > Hominidae > Homo > Homo sapiens. The sequence goes on from NW_014040931.1 coordinate 126,904, forward strand.
AGGTGCCTGTCACCATGTCCAGCTAATTTTTGCATATTTTTAGTAGACACGGGGTTTGACCATGTTGGCCAGGCTGGTCTTGAACTCCTGACCTCAGGCGATCTGCCCACCTCGGCCTCCCAAAGTGCTGGGACTACAGGCGTGAGCCATCATGCTCGGCCCAAGACCTGAATTGAGACACAGGATCTAGAGATTTGCTGGGGAAGATTTAGCCTGATTACTGATTATCAATTATTGCTATAGAACACCTAAAAGTTTACACAAAAAAACTGGGCTGAGATATGTTAATAATAAATGTTGAAATAACGAAAACACTGTCAGATGGTCACATACACATATGCACATCAAAAAGCAATAAACAGGCTGGGCGCAGTGACCCACACCTGTAATCCCAACACTCTAGGAGGTCAAGGCAGATGGATGATCTGAGGTCAGGAGTTCCAGACCAGCCTGGCCAACATGGTGAAACCCCACAACAAAGTGAGATTCTGTCTCAAAAAACAAACAACAAAAAACCCACCAAATACTGTGACTTTCCAAGGAAAGTTGGGAAGCAAGAACTCAACTTTGACAAGAGGATGATTAACGGATTATTTTGAGCGCTCAAATTTGACTAAAGAATTTTGTACTTGAGGGTCTTAAATGTTACATCCTCCTAGGATCTTTGCATTTTAAAATGTCATTGTGTATAAACTTCTTAGGGGAAGTGAATCTTCTACCTCAAACTTGGAGTTTCACCGTGATGTTAATAATGGAGACAGGGAAGGAGGCACAAAGAAAAGACCGTAATTGGGAGATAGGGGACATGATAAGAGTAAAGGGCAAGCTCCTTGCATGACTGAATTAAAATGTTCTAATTTCAAATATATATTTCACATTCAATATAATTTTTACTATAGTCTATGGGCACTTCTTTTTGCCAGAAGGTTATAAATAATATGGTAGACTACTAAACATACAGTTGTACATCCATCTGATCCCTTCCCACGAAAAAGTGGATAAACTTGCAAGATAAACTCATGACACCATGAGCAATGGGAAGCTGGAAACATGAGAGATGAAGTGAGTGACAGTGATTCTGTGCACTGCAAGGAAGCAGACAGTAATGATGAGTGCAGTGGAGGAGCCCCCAGAAAGCCAGCCACTTTAGGGCACAGAGCTTGGGGAGGCCTCAGTAAGTGGGGGTGCAACATGGGGCTGAAAAATAGAGCATTAGCCCAAAGTTTCTAAGAGGAGTTAGATCCTTAACCCAGTTCAACCAGGTAACTGTTCTCATCCACTGAAAACAGGCGGGAGATTGTCAAAGTCCGCGCACTGAATCATGAGCCCATATCCCCACCCACACAACCCTACCATCCTCTTCTCCACTTGGCTTTTAGGACGCTGGCAGCCAAGCTTGCATCTCTAGACAGGAAATCTCAAGATTTTTCTCTGGAACAAAAAAAAAAATGTTTTTTTTTCCTCTGGGAAAACTCAACTCAGAAAAAAGACCCATATGCTGGCTGGCTGCCTTATTATTCTACGGAGAGGACTACAGGCTAGCAAGCCTGGCCCATACTGTAACAGAGAGCTTCAAGTCATTTTTTAAAACATCTCTTTCTCTCTTAAAAATATAAATCAAGGCTGGGTGCAGTGGCTCAAGCCTGTAATCCCAGCACTTTGGGAGGCCGAGGTGGGCGGATCACCTGAGGTCAGGAGCTCGAGACCAGACTGACCAACGTGGAGAAACCTCATGTCTTCTAAAAATACAAAATTAGCTGTGCATGGTGGCGCATGCCTCTAATCCCAGCTACTCAGGAGGCTGAGGCAAGAGAATCGCTTGAACCTGGGAAGCGGAGGTTGCGGTGAGCTGAGATTGCGCCATTGCACTCCAGCCTGGGCAACAAGAGCGAAACCCCATCTCAATAAAGAAAAAAAAATCAAGACATCTGAAGAACCTCTAACAAGAAAGAGAAAATAGGAAACAGACAAAGATTTTTAAAAATTATAGTACAGGCCAAGTGTAGTGGCTCACGCCTGTAATTCCAGCACTTTGGAAGGCTGACGTGGGAGGATTGCTTAAGCTCAGGTGGTGAGACCAGCCTGCCTGGGCAACAAAGTGAGATGCTGTCTCTACAAAAAGTAAAAAACTTAGCCAGGTGTACTGGCATGCACCTGTGGTCCAGCTACTTGGGAGGATCCCTTGAGCCCAGTGGTTGGAGGCTGCAGTGAGCCATCATCACATCACTGCACTCCAGCCTGGGTAAGGGCATGAAACTGAAACAAAAACAAAAACAAAAAATACGTTATAATGTATTCAAAAAGCAAGAGAAACGATTATAGCCATCAACTAGGCTCTGATTATTCTTTAAAAGTCAGTACATTCAGAGAAAAAAAAAGCTCTTCAAAATATCAAGAAAAAAAATAAGTAAATAAAAGGCTAGAAGGCTGGGCACTGTGGCTTGTGGCACATGCCTATAATCCTGGTACTTTAGAAGACCGAAGTGGAAGGATTGCTTGAGTCCAGCAGTTTGAGACCACTCTGGGCAACACAGTGAGACCTTGTTTCTGCAAAAAATATAAATATTAGCTGGGCATGGTGGCACACACCTTTAGTCCCAGGTACCAGGGAGCCCCAGAGTTCGAGAATGCAGTAAGCTGTGATCGCACCACTGCATTCCAGCCTGAGTGACAACAAAACAAAACAAAACAAAACAAAACCAAAACAAAACCCACATACAAAAAAGATTAGATGATAAAGCTGAAGAAAGCATAGAGAAATCAGAACAAAAAGATAATGAGATAAAACATAAAACAGAGGAGAAAAGATAAAAACAGCGGATCAATCCAGGAGGTAAAATGCCTTATATTAACAGGAATTATAAAGAGAGCAGAGAAAATAGAGGGAAGGAAATTTTCAAAGAACTACCACATGACAAATTGCCTGAACTGAAAGACATCAGCGTACATAAGATCTCATAGAGTAGCCAACACAACCATGAAATGACCTAGTCAAGACCTATCATTTTGACATCTCAAGACCCTAGGGAAAAGGAGAAGATCCTCAAACTTTCCAGAAGAAAAACAGAACATGCATCAAGGGATGAAAAATTAGAATGGCAGTCTTCTCAACTGCAGCACTGGAAGCTAGTGGACAAACCAGGAAGAACGACTGCAAGACAGTGAGAGAAAAATCACTTCCAATCTAGAATTCCACACCTAGCCAACTCTCAATTAAGCATGAGGCTAGGATAAAGTCATGCTCAGATATATAGGATCTCAACATTTTTACACTCCCACACACCCTTTCTCACAAAACTACTAAAGGATGATGCACGCCCTTAAATGAAGGCTCACTTTAAGAATGAGGAAGAAATGGGATTCAGGAAACAGAACATTCAATAGAGGAGAGAAAGAAATGAAGATGATGATGTTGATGATCTGCCCCAGGATAAGTTATGAAACAGATCCAAAGAATAAATATCCTAACTGGAAAGTGTGCGTTAGAAAAGATGTGGCCCAAGAAACTTGAAATATAATAATATGCTTCATAAGCATTATACATTTCAAAAAATGAAAAACGATTTTAGAAGTCTATACAAATCTTCCAAATTACCTATTTCATTTTCTGTCCATCACATGGGCATAGGCACTTTAATTTGGAGGAATAATCATGTGACATGTAAGAACAAAAACATGCAAGAAAAGGAACCAAATGAAATAAAAATCCCAAGCTGGTAAGAGATTTCTCATACTCACCATCTCTCTGGCTATTTCCAGCGCTTCCTGCAGGCCATAGAGCCTGCCACAAACCAGGTAGATTCCATTGGCCCAGAGAATACAACCCTCATGGACCCAAAATTCATTGCTGTCAAGAGGTAGTTCAGGGATTTGTAACTCCAGCTCAGGGCCACCTTCTGAAGTGGTGGGCACGGAGGGCTTCGAGTCCAAAACAGTCTTTTCACTGCTGCCCTCAGTGGCTGCTTTTTTACAAGGGAGCCCCCTGGACAGGGACCGAGGGCCTCCACCACAGTCTTCCGAGCGGTGGCGCCGCTTAAACCTGGGGTGTGCGGCCAGGCTTCTCTGCTCCTTCTGCTGCTGCTGCTGCTCTTCCTCCTCCTCAGTGTCCGTCTTGGAGCCATTAGAAGCACTTTTGTGCCGTACCTTAACTTTGCTCTGCATTTCTGTGGCCCTCTTAGGAGGTGGATTCTTCGGGAGAGTGGCTGCATAATCTTGGGGATAAAAAGGTCCAAAGAGGTCACCCATGTTCCGGTAACTGGCCCACTTGCCACACAGACAGCAAACCAGGTGCCCCATAACCGAAGACTCTGTCACAACAGGTCCCTGCAGCATAAAGGACGAGGCCGGGAGCGCCTTGCTTTCAGTGCTGCTAGGTGGAGGGGTCAGTGACCTCTGACCCTTCCTGCCCCTCACTAATTTGGTCTGTTCTTCTTCCTCAGCATTGATGATTGTACAAACGGCTCCAAGTTCACACTTATTTACTACATGGATGTAAGGGTAAAAAGACTTGTTCTTGGCATCAGTTTTATCCAGTGGCTGGGTGGCATATTTTAGTTTGATCTCAGGTTCTTGGGGTTCCACAATGGGAACTGCTTGTTTGGTTTTTCGCTTCCTCGGCTGGGCCCCAGGCTTCCTTCTCTCCCTCCTTTGCCTCTGTTTTTTTGGCTTTGGCTCTCCATCTGCAGAACCTTCTGGTATCTGTGGGGGCTGAGGGGGTGGAGGCGGTGGCTGCTGCTGTTTCTTTTGCTTATTCACACTACCAATGGGTCTCCCCTTCTTCTTTCCTGATGGGAAATATCCCTTTGGAGGGAAACCCTCTTGCTTCGGTGAAATCGTCACTGTATCGTTCTCCTTCTCTTCAGCCTTGGGGTTTGCCTCAGGGGCCAATATGCCCACTGGAGGTACATTCTTTGAGTCTGGAAAGATTAAAGGTGCTGTTCCACCCAGGGAACCATCTGGTCTCCCTTGGTTACTACCAGGCTTCTGTGAGGTTGTGGATGTCATGGCACCAGGGGGTTCCTTTCCGGCAGTAACTGTTTCTGCATGTGTCTCTGTCTTCACTTTGTCATCCACGCTGCCACGCCACTCTTCTGAAGACCTTGGAAGAGGTTTCTCTACGTGCAACTCCTGGTTTGCTGGACTGACTAGGTCCGAAGCCACCTCACCTTTTCTCTTCTCTATGTCAGCATCCTGAACAGCAACACTCCCACCTTCAGGAGGACCACTCTTCAAAGACAGTATATCATCAAGCGTAACCGTGTCTCCCCCAGCCTCCGCACTGTTCGAAGATGCGCTCCTCCTAATATTTGGGGATGTAATCTTCTGAACTATAGCTTCCAATTTCAATCCCCGTCCTTTCCGTGGGGGCAGTATTTTGGTCTTAGCAGGGCTTGTGAGGGTAACAGCAGGGCAGTTTCTACTATCTGGACTTGGAAGGTCCTTGGAGGAATCTCTCTTAGGGATAGACTTGATATCCTGACTGTGAGAAAGATGGGCATAGGAATTGAATGCTTTATCAGCGCCTTCTTTTGATGAGTGAAGGAGGCGACCTTTATCTTCAGTGCTACTGTTCTTTACATCTTGTGACTGTCTCTTACTGGGAATGGGAGAGATAAAAGAACGAACACGCCTCCTCATGATTAAGGGGTTTTGAGAAGAATGATCCTCCTGGCCTGGAAGTCTCAGCATAACACTACCAGGTTTGGATGACTGTGTAGCCTCAGCTAGTCCATGTCCATCAGTCTCATGGGGCGGCCCATACCTTTTTTGACTGGACATTCCTGGAGGACCGCTGCTTTTGGCTGGAGAAGTTTGCCGAGAAAGATCCCAACAGGATTCTTGTAACTTCTGGGAGCCATGCTTTAATTCCATGCCCTTGTTAGGCAGACCATCACTAGACATTAGGCAGCGCCCAGCCTCCTGGGCACTGGGGTCATGGTAAGTCCCCACTGGTGGGCCATACATCATACCATCTTTGTCATTTTTCAGAGGGCTCCGTACTCTGTCAAGAAACTGCTGCTGCCTTGGACTCTTCCGTGGCCCCTCCTGCCTGTGCTGTGCTGCAGCAATTACTCCCTGAGCAGAACCGCTGCTCCAGTCTTTATACTCCTCTGGTTGCTGTTGGTACATCTGTCTCTTATAATGCAGCTGAGAATTCAAACCTGCGTTAGGGTCCCCATAAGCATGAGCCCGAGTATTTGCATGATAAGCAGAGGCCAGGGTTTCTGAGTTGGGAGAAAAGGGAGTGTGTAAAGAACTCCGGTTAGCCCTCTCTGAAAAGGTCATGTGTGGATTCATGTGATGAGGGTCTCCCCCTGGGCCTCTGCTCCGCCCAGGAGACATTTTCAATTTTTCTGCAAAGTCATGATATTGAGAAGGGGACCGACCCCTCATGCCCTCCCGACCACCAACTCTGCCAGGGACCCGCCGCATTGGCGTGGGTCTGCTGTCTTGCGGGCCATAGTCTGAAAGGGAATCATGGGTTGCTGCTCCAGGGCTGGCATTGCCGCGGTAAGACTCATGCTTGATGCTAGGAGGATGGCAGTGGTCTCCAGATTTCTTGTTGTTGAAACTAGCTTGAGATTTAGACTGTTCAAAGTCTTCCTCTTTTATCTGCCCGCTCTGGGATTTCAGCTTGGTTTCCATGGACACCAAACCACCAGGAAGAATGACCGACTGACTTAAAGTTGGATTGAGACGGTCATTCCTCCCAATTCTGGTGTCGGCACTCATGTGTCCCAGTGAGTGAGCCCCTGGGTCCCTGACAATCTGTCTTAGTGGAGAAATATCACAGATCACTGATCTTCTTTCAGAGAGGGAACCCCCAGGCTCATGTGCTGATGACTGAGGCTCTATTTCAAACTTTCTGGGAATTGGATAGTCAGTCAAATTGATCTGTTTCATTTCAGGAGCTGTGCTGCTTGATTTCCTTTCCCAGGGGCCCCAGTGGGGATTTTCTAATAGAGACCCAATGCTTTTGTTCAGAAGGCCCCTGCTAGCTAATTCATTGGTTTGACTAACCAAGACATTGGGCCTTGTGGTTCCTTCTAGGCTACCAGCCATCCCCTGATGCTCTTGAGTACTCCTAGAATATCTCCTGTCAGGGTGGTGGTGGTAACCCTGAAGCACTTCCTGCAGGAGGCTTGGGAATTTTTCATTTCTACCCTTTCGTTCCCCATGGCCAGTGAAATCTCCCTTTTCTTGCCCTGTAGGATACTGAGGAAAGCCACTGACATTTCGTGGCACGGCTGACCCGAAACTATCTTTGTAACTATAGCGCAGACTTCCAGGAGATTTGCTAGGCTCAGTTCTGCTCGTAAAACCAGGGCCCGCTGCAGAGTGGCCACTCTGGCCATTTCCTTCTCCATTATGGTTGGAGTTGTTATCGCCATTCTTGTTTCCTTTGCTCCCTCCTCCTCCTGGAGGCTCTGGCTGGGGAAGTGATGCATGACTGGTTTCCTTTGCCCCACCATTGCTAGGTGGCCTTTGAGTGGCTGCAGGATCATCCTCTTGGGAGCCTTTATCTTGTCCACCAGGCTTTTCTACCCGACCTGTCATGGCTTCCCGGGAGACAATCACCCCAACAGTCTTCTCATTAACCTTTGGGTTCCCGTCGGATGACAATGGCATGTCCTTAGCGCCTGGTGAGGTGGCCTCTTCTCTTGCGGCAGGACTAGCATTGAGTCTGGGGGGTTCATTCTGAGCACCTTGTGCCGGTGAGGAGCCAGCTTTCTCAGAGGCTCCACCCTTGTAGGTGGTGTCAGAGCTGGTGCTCTGGCCACTTAGTTGCCGCACTCTCTCGCCTTGATCCTCTGAACTGCTGGAGCAGCCTCCATCTAATGACTCTGCCATAGGGGACTTCAGCTGTTCTTCAGGTTGTGAGGAGCCTTCAGAATTTGTGCAGCTATCTGCTTTCTTGGAAGATGAGGGCCTCTTGGAGGTCTTCTTCTGAGGAGTCAGGGCATCAGAAAGTAACATGTGCTGGACAGTGTTAGGAAGATTGGCCACTTGAGTACTCAGAGCACTCAAACTACTCAACCCAGGATCTGTCAGTCGCTTTTCTGGTACCCCTTCTAGTCCAAACCCTTTGAAGCCTGCAGCATGAGAATTAGGACTGGGCATCATTGATGGGGTTGGACTGAGTTGAGGCATTAACTGTAAAATTCTGTTTCTGGAACCCATAGGCACACTGCCTTGCCCACACTGGAGATTCTCCCCAGTCTGCATGAGAGGAGATGGGGTAGAACTACAGCTTGGAGACTGAACCACAGAGGCAGCTGGAGAAGGGTTAGAAATGGGGCTGAAGTTCTGGTGAAACTGCATGGGGGACCTCACAGGAACCTCAGGCTGGTTGTACTGCCCCACTTGGCTTTGCAGGGGCAGCTTGGTGGCAGCGTTAGTATACTGCATCACATGCTGAGAAGGGTGTTGTTGTTGCTGCGGTTGCTGCTGCTGCTGCCCCTGTTGGGTCCCTTGTGGAATCTTTGCCTGTTCAAAATTCTTCATAGATTGAGGCTGATAGCTGTAATTGGATTGTGTTCCATAAGCCTGTGCATTAGAACCCACATTGTGTCCTTCATACTGAGATCCAGCATTCACATTGTAACTGCCATCATAGCTCTGTCCAGACTGGCTAAAACGCTGTGGTGAAGGGAAGGAGGAGGAGGAGGAGGAGGAAGCAGAAGACTGATAGTGTTGGCCAAACTGACCCACTCTTAACTGGTAACCAGCAGCAGAGGATGGCAGAGTTGAGGGCCGCTGCATTGGCTGTAGATGGGATGAGCTGGATGCTGGTTGGCCAGTGGCCTGTGGCAGGGGCTGATGGGACTGGTAAAGCTGTTGTCTCAACTGCTGGACTTGCTGCTGCTGCTGCTGGCTGGAAGCCTGCTGTTGGTACTGAGCACTCCCTGGAGAGAAAGGCCCAGTGTAATCCTGCTGATAATGTGACACACCGCCAAGGCCAGAGTGCTGTGCTTGAAACTGGCCCACATGACCCTCACTCCCATACTGATTGCCAAAGCTGCTCCCCTGGGGGGGTCCATAGCTCTGCACAGGCCCAGAAGGCCTTCGCTGAGGAGGCTGTGGGGTTCCTGTAGTCACGGGGTCTTTGTTGCCTGCCATGTAGTAAAAATCTCCAGCCTCTTTCCTGAAACCCTGGTAACCTTGATGGCCAGAGGTCTCGCTAGCCATCGCTGCCGCAGCAGCTGCTGCTCCTCGTCGTCCACCACCACTGCCACTGCCACTGCTGCCACTACTGCCACCTGTACCTCCAAAATTCTGGAACATCTGGGCCTGACGAGGGCTGAACTCTTCTAGCCGGGATGAGCCGTGTACCTCCTGTGGGTAGCTTTGCTGGTTTCCGTGGTAACTGCTTTGCTCCCGAAAGGACTGCATACTGTTCAGCAGCACAGCAGCAGGCCAACAGCCCTCCTAGAAATAGAAGAAAGAAAAACATTAGACACGCATCTCCTTGGTACAAATAAAATCAAGTCTAGATGATGGAGGGAATAAAGATGAATCAGAGGCCCAGATGAAGCTGACTGGTTTGAATTTCTATTTTTTTTTTTTGGTTTTTTGAGACAAGAGTCTCACTCTGTCACCCAGGCTGGAGTGCAATTGCACGATCTCAGCTCAATGCAACTTCTGCCTGCAGGGTTCAAGCAATTCTCTTGCCTCAGCCTCCCGAGTAGCTGGGACTACAGGCGCATGGCCACCAGGCTCGGCTAATTTTTTGTATTTTTAGTAGAGACAGGGTTTCACTGTGCTGGCCAGGCTGGTCTCGAACTCCTGACCTCGTGATCCGCCCACCTCGGCCTCCCAAAGTGCTGGAATTACAGGCATGAGCCACCACGCCTGACCTTGAATTTCATCTTTTATATTTTATCCTATCCACTTCTGAAAATGCACATATGCAGAGAAATGGCCTAAAGAGTGAGGCAAGAATCTGTAGTAGAATGAAAAGCAGCACTCTGAGTGCATACAAACCCAATACAGCAAAAACATGTATGTCTCATATATCTAATAATGCCTTATTAGACAAATGAGCCCCCAAACTCAACCAGATTAAAATATGGGGCTGTGTTATTACTGTCAATGAAAAACAGCAATTTTTCAATAAGCCTCCCAGTTATGCGGGGGAGGGGGTGTGGGGTAAGAAAAACCAAATCCTTTTTTTTTTTTTTTTTTTTTTTTTTTTGAGACAAGGTCTCACTCTTGCCCAGGCTGGAGTGTGCAGGGGCACAGTCGTAGTTCACTGCAGCATCAAACACCTGGCTTCAAATGATCCTCCTGCCTCGGCCTCTCAAAGTTTTGGGACTACAGGCATAAGCCACTACTTTCATTTCTCTGCTTTCATGTATTAGGGTGATCACTGAACTGCGGGTTTTAACACTGGCTGCTGATCGCCACTCCCCAACACTGAGAAACAGACCTGGCCAGAGAACTGCAGCCAATTCCTTATGTCCAAGTGCAAATTTTTGCAGCTTTACTATAATTGCCAACTACCTGTGATGACTGGTGACTCCAGGACACTCAGCCCATATGGGTTCCACACAAACTTTGGAGTCAACCTCTTCTTGGCATATGACTGTGTCTACAGCACCCCTCTCTCCACCACTCTCCTTCAATTCCCAGGTACAAAGGGCTAGACTTAAGCCAGTGAATAGCAGTGACTATTCTTCCAGATTATTTTGGGAGGTTTCCAAGAAGTTCCAGCACCTTTACCCGCCATGTGGTATTTGTATTTGCCAGTTTTTTAAATTCACAGTTATTACTGGCCATTACTATGAAAGAATTAGAAGCAATCATCTTGGAGGACAGCAAAAAACAGAGAGGAAAATAGGAATTCATCAAGCCTAGGACCCAGACTCTTTCAAAGTTATCTGACTGAGCCACCACTTTGTATTACCTATTATAATCCCTCTTAATCAATCAAGCTGATTTTTTCCCCTTTCACCTGGGCCTGTCTCCTCAGAGTCAGAGATGAAAGGGACAAGGCCAAATTGCTCCAAGTGACTTTAGAACCAATTACTTAAAAAAACAAGTTCCAAAATACATATAGGGTAAAGTGAGGTGTAATAGACAGTTTAGTTTAGTTACAATGGTTTATGAAGCTAGTTTCCTAGTTCCCCTGAAGGGGAGCTGAAAATGGAGTTGCCTGCAGGAAAGTCAACAACCTTTTTAAAGGTAAGTCAGATTTATCCTCTCCAATCCCTGGAGTGGCTCCCACCTCATTCTTTGGGAAACTGGTCTCAAAGGCCCCTGCTCCCACCCCCTTGACCTCTCTGAGCTCCTCCCCTATCACTCTCTGCTCTAGCCCCACAGTTGCCTTGTTCCTGGAACAGGCCTACCACATATCTACATAGGAACTCTGTTCTCACCTGCACGTTCTTCTCCCAGAGCCAGATAGCTTGCTCTCCTTCCAGTCTTTGGGCAAGTGTCACTCATTCCCTGGTCATTCTAGTAAAAACAGCCAGCTCCACACCTTTTCCCTGGCTGTAACTCCCTCCCCTGTTTTATCCCCTGCCTGGCCCCATACTTACTCCAAACAGACACATATATGCTACTTGTTTACTGTCTGTCTCTCCTCTGACTAAAATGTAAACTCCTTAAAGGGCAGAAACTGACTGTTCCTTGCTGTAATCCTCACGTCATCACACCGGAGTCTGTGTGAATGATTAAATGGTGTAAGAACTAGGCCTTAGAGAACTAGGCTAGAACTCACATATTCAGAGATGGTGCTGTGGGAGTGACATGAGAGAATTATAGAAAGTGAAAATAGAATATGATCAACCTAAAAGCAGAGCTGGAGGATGCTGAAGACCTTGCCTGTAAAATCCCATGAGTCCGGTTCTAAGGGAAAGACCCAGCTTGAGTCCACATGAGAACTGAGGAAAGACTTCAGAAAGTAAATATTGATTAGAGCAGAAGATGGCCAGTAACCCCAAATTCTAAAAGCTTGACCCATATCTTGAAATATCGTAAGTCTAAAACAGCTAGACAAGGGTCTACTTCCTTAAGCTTGATTATATAGTCATGTGACCCAAAACAATCGCTAAACATTCATGTGCAAATAATGTCAGAATCTAAAGGAAACTTCTCATCCTATTCAAAATGCCTCTGTTGCTTTGTTCCAGTGAATCTGCAGGGCAGTAGGTAATAGCTATTCAAATGGTGATGATGCTGCTTGACACTGTTCCAGCACTTCACATACACTAACTCATTTAATCCTCACAACACTAGCACGCTCCTTTTACAGATGAGGAAACAGAAGCAGAGTTCACAAAGCTCCTAGGCAGCAGGGCTGGGGGCAGGACATGTTTTTAACATTACATTGCCCAGAGGGTCTTCCACATGGTCAGTAAAAAATACCAGTTGTCCTGTCAGTTTGGCCTTGAAAGTGGGTAGCCACCCACAATAAATCTGTCCCTTCACTGCCACCCTCTTATAAGGACCTCCATACTGTTCCAGCTGGCTCTTCACCCGCTCCCCATCATTCTTAGAACTATCAAGAGCAATTCTGTCTACATGAGTATTAATTTTTTCCCCTTGTGATGTGCTCCTGCTCTACTCCTCAGTGCCAGTGGCCTTCTCTAGATAAAACAAGGCTGAATGGGGGCTAAATTGAACAAAAACATTAAAGCTAGCAGTTTAAACTAATGAAAAGCCTTCTCAAGAGATATTCTCTATAAAAAGCTATGTTACATGTTGTTTAATTAATCCTTCTGGAAATAAAATCAGGCTTCTGAAGATCTGAGTGTATAAACAATGTTGCCACTTGCTCCATATTCTTCCTAAATAGGAGCCACCAAGAGCTAAAGGCCACTTTAAACATCAGGGTATCAGGCCTGAGGCTGCCCTATCTCCAGACAGGGAAAACAGATACAGGAAGGACTCCTTCTTAGGTCTGTTCTCAGCCTTCCCCTGCAGATTCCCTGTCCTGTATGATACCCCTTTCCCTATTGTTATGGTTCTACTTTATGAAAAAGAAAAAAAAAAAATCCAAGGCCAAATACCTCCTGCAGGGTTCCAGTCATGCTAAATATTCTTAGTATACATGAAGCACCTGAGTAGGAGAAGGTGGTTGCCCAGGTTTATCTTTTTTAGGAATGCCAAGTAAACCAATTAAGAAAACCAACTAGCATATACCAACGACAGAAAATGTAAACCTGGAGCTATAAAATAAGTAATAGGCTGGGTGTGGTGGCTCACACCTGTAATCCCAGTGTTTTGGGAGGCTGAGGTGTGAGGATCGCTTGAGGTCAGGAGTTCAAGACCAGCCTGGGTTAAAAAAAATTTTAAATGCACAGTGTCATGAGGTGTGCCTACAGTCCCAGCTGCTCAAGAGGCTGAGGTAGGACGATTGCTTGAACTCAGGAGTTCGAGGCTGCAACGAGCTATGAATGTGCCAATGTGCTCCACCCTGGGTGACAGTAACCCTGTCTCAAAAAAAAAAAAAAAAAAAAAAAAAAGCTAATAGAGATAATTCCAATTTTATCCCATCATCTTAAAAAAAGCATCAGTGTAGTCAGTTTTAAAGCACTGTGATTAGTAATAATAAGTGCCTGAATTCCTTTGTTTAAATGAATACAAATAGTAAGGAAAATCTGATACCTCAAAGGAATAAGTCACCTAAGGAACTTGCATACACACTCTAAAAAAGAGGCTGGGCACAGTGGCTCACCCCTGTAATCCCTGAACTTTGGGAGGTCAAGGCGGGCAGATCACTTGGGCTCAGGAGTTCGAGACCAGCCTGGGCAACATGGCGAAACCCTATCTTTATAAAAAATACAAAAATTAGCCAGGCATGGTGATGCGTGCCTGTAGTCCCAGCACCTCGGGGGGCTGAGGCAGGAGGATCGCCTGAGCCTCGGAGGCAGAGGTTGCAGTGAGCAGAGATCGCGCCACTGCCCTCCAGCCTGGGCAACAAAGCGAGATTCCGTCTCAATAAATAAATAAAAAAGAGGCCTACCGATGTACTTCCCATCCATAATGACTCTCCCTTTCCTGTTTTTCTCCTATATTCCTAACTTTCTGAACAGTTTCAGAAGGGCTGTGGAGGTGTATTAGTGAGGTCCAGAACTCTGTGCCTAAACATTCCAGAGTCCATGTGCCGACCTCACAAACTCACTCATAACCAGCTGCAGACTTGTTCTCCCCATCCTATTAGAGGGCTGATGACCTTGCCCTCTTATAGAAAACCAACATTGGCTTTCTCTGTCCTTCTTCCTCCATATGTCCAACAACATCCCACTTCCCAATCCATTCTCTTTTTTGGAAAGAGAGTCTCACTCTGTTGCCCAGGCTGGAGTGCAGTGGCATGACCACAGGCTCACTGCGGCCTCAACTCCCAGCTCAGGCAATCCTCCTGCCTCAGCCTCCCAAGTAGCTGGGACCACAGGCATGGGACCCCTGGCTAATTTTTAAAAAATAATTGGGACTATGGCTAATTTTTATAATTTCTTAAAAATAGAGACAGAGTCTCACTGTGCTGTCCAGGCTGGTCTCAAACTCCTGGGCTCAAGCCATCCTGCTGTTTCAACCTCCCAAAGTGCTAGAATTCAGCCATTGTGCCTGGCCCCAGCTAATTTTTTCATCCTCTGTCATGATTTTCTGCTTATTCTCCTTCTTTGCCTTTAAATCCTCAAGACATTGACAATGATGCATCTAGTTATAGCCTGTGTAAGGGATATTCCCTGTTTGCCCCCACAGCCTCTCCTCACCCATCTCCACCCTACTCTATGCCCTAGAACGGACAATGGAAGGACAACTGACAGGCCCCACCACCCTTGCCTTCTGACCCAGTTTGGCTGGTAAGAGGCAGGAGAGGAGGAAAGTGAGAGGAACTTACTCTCCTGGCTCCCACCCCGAGGTTACTGAGGCTGGCTGAGACCCTCCACCAATGGCTGCAGCTCCATCGGGCAACCTCAACATATAGCCACTTTCTCCAAACTCCAGGAACCACTTCATCCTCTGCCCTTCAGGTCTAGAAGGCAGTAGGTAACAACTCCCTGCTACTGCTAGCACAGAAGACTTCACTTTCCTGTTGGCTTCCCCAAACCCTGCTCACCCTTTCCAGTCCCTTTATTAATCTTCTGCATTGTTGTCAACTCAGCATCGTGACCACCCTCCTTCCAAGCTCTCCTCTGCAGATCAGAAGCTGAGAACTTCCGTTCCAGAACCCTTTAGCAGCATGGTTCTGGGTTAGAGTTTGCAATGAGAAGTGCAAGAGAGATTTAGAAGGCAAAATAAACGTAGAGGTTGATGATATTCCCTGGAGGTAGATGCAGCACACGTGGATTCATAGCGGCTTCCCCATGAGCTCACGAGAACCATTCACTATGACACTTCAGTATGAAATCATCAGGAACCTTCCCAATTCCAGTTCTTCCAGGGTTGGGTAAAGCCTTAATTCCTGTATCAAAACCATTCATACCGGAATAGACAACTTCTCTTTTCCTGAATGAACCCTGAATGATACAATTAAACACTCCTTAAATTACCCAGTTTGAATGTGCCATCTGTTTTCTACTGGGACCCTGACTGATAAGAGTTCTTCTCATTCCTAGGATTTCAGAGTAGACTATTGCCACTTGGGGAATGAGAGACTTCTATTTCATGCACTATGACATAGAACAGGGACTAAAAATCCTCCCTCAACAAAACACTTAGAAATGTCAGACAAAATGTATAGCCAAGTTGCAAGAAAGTAAGAAATGCCCAAAGTCCAAAATTGGATGAGATACTATGAAGAGAGTTGCAGGCAGGTGCTGGGCTCTGAATGCCAAGGATGTGGGGTCTATAGGGCTTATTAACCATATGGCAAAGGGTTTTTTTTTTTTTTTTTGAGACGGAGTCTCGTTCTGTTGCCCAGGCTGGAGTGCAGTGGCGATATCTCGGCTCACTGCAAGCTCCGCCTCCCGGGTTCACGTCATTCTCCTGCCTCAGCCTCCCAAGTAGCTGGGACTACAGGCGCCCACCACCGTGCCTGGCTGATTTTTTGTATTTTTAGTAGAGACAGGGTTTCACCGTGTTAGCCAGGATGGTCTCGATCTCCTGACCTCATGATCCGCCCGCCTCAGCCTCCCAAAGTGCTGGGATTACAGGCATGAGCCACCGCGCCCGGCCCCATATGGCAAAGGTTTTAATGACCATGCAGAGACAGAGCAAGGCCTCTGGCCCTCTAGACAGATCAGTACTTAAGGACTCTGGACAGTGTCACTTGTGACTGTAATCATTTCTAAAAGACAACAAATGCATTTATTATTAGGCAGTAACTAACTCATTTTCAATGACAAAGATAAGGTTGTTCTTCCTCAACTGACCCAACTGCCTATTCTCAAAGAAAACCATGATCATCCCAAGCAAGAAGCTTTAGAATAACCCCAAACTGACCTTTCACTTTGACTCTGTATTTACCATGCTACCTCATCATGACACTACTCTCCTTCCTGTATTTGTCCTTTCCCATTCCATTCTCGTCACTGTCATTTTCATCTTTCTTGGGCTAGAATAACACCTGAAAAGTTCTCTTTCCCAGTACTTTCTTTTGCTTAACTGCCATTTTGACACCATCACACCCCCCCATAGGCCCTGAAGCCCTGTGACATCTTCCCAACACAATTTCTGCTTCTCCCCACCCTCTCAAACAAGCCTGCTCAGCCCCCTTTGTGCCATCGGCCCACTCTCACCTTGGTCTCAACTTGGAGCCTTTTAAGCATCCCCAGGCCCATAAATTCCTTCTTGCCACATGAGATCATATGGTTCTTAAGAGCTCTTAGAATGTGTCCTGCTGTATCTTAAGAGCTCCTAAAATGTGTTATCCATGTGATTTTCTCTACAAATCTTCCTCTAAGCAGAGAATGTGTTGGCTTTACCTTGCTTAGTAAAAACAAACCAATTAAAGTATTTACCTTTAACCAGTATCTAAGGTATGTACCACTGATATAATAAAAATTGCTGGCCGGCCACAGTGGCTCACACCTGTAATCCCAGCACTTTGGGAGGCCGAGGCAGGCAGACTGTTTGAGCTCAGGAGACCAGCATGGGCAACATAACAAGACCCCGTCTCCACAAAAAATACAAAAGAATTAGCTGGGTGTGCTGGCTTGTGCCTGTAGTCCCAGCCACTCCAGAGGCTGAGGCAGGAGGATCACTTGAGCCTGGGAGGCAGAGGTTGCAGTGAGCCGAGGCTGCACGCTACTACACTCCAGCCTGGGTGCTACAGTAAGACCTGTCCCAGTAAATAAATAAATAATTGCCATTTATTTAGCAATCTATATATGTTAGTCACTGTGTGGTTTTACCTGTAACTCAATTAATGAATGAGGGGGAAAAATTAATGTAATTTTTTCCAAAAGTCCAAATTTTCCAAAAGTCACTCCTCTAGGACAAGTTGGAGCTGACATTCTGTAACTCCAATTCTTCTGATTCTAGAGCCCATAACCCTTTCTTTCACTGTACCACAAAATTAGGCAAGGAAGATCCAAATGCATATTTTTGAAAATCCTGACACACACTTGGGTCAGATCTCTAATAACTGTAGCTATCAATTATTGCCATGCCTCACACATGTGACACACTATCAGGTGCTTTACACAAATGTTAATGCATTTCATCCTTACCATGATCTAAGAAATGTTAGTAATCCTTTTTGTAAATGGAGACTCAGAAGTTAAACAAGCAAAATATTCATGGTAAACAATGAGATAAGATATATAATATGCCCACTGCAAAACCCAGTCTGTATTTCCCAATCTGTGACATTGGGAAGCATTTTAGAAAGGAATCTTGAGGAATCTTGCTAGAATTTAGTTGACTGCTTGTACCTAGATATATCTGTAACACCTGTATCGTTTGTTTTGTGTATGTGCAAATGTGGGATCTTCCTAAGTGTATCAAGCATAAAGATCTGCTCAGTGACTTAATATTTCATACTCTATGTCCTGTTTGCACATGGGCAGAGCCTATATTTTTCTCAGTGGCTAAAAGTTATCTTAGTGTAATAGGACTTCAGAATAAAATGAAGTGTAATGAAGGTGCTGGCTTCCTCCCTGACTTGGGAGATCAGAAGAGTCTGAAAGCAACTCAGAATTCGCAAGTCAGTTCCTTGTCTAGAAGGAAAGAAACCCACAAGAATGCTGCATATCTAAAAAGATTGCTTTCTGGGTGTCAAAACTCATATTAGCCATGTAAGCCATAAAAAATATCCACCTTGAATCATGACCAAATACATGCAGGCAAAAACTAGGGGGATAAATTTGTAACTATTACATTTCCTGGCCAGGCGCAGTGGCTCACGCCTGTAATACCAGCACTTTGGGAGGCCGAGGTGGGCGGATAACGAGGTCAGGAGATTGAGACCATCCTGGCTAACACAGTGAAACCCCGTCTCTACTAAAAATACAAAAAAATTAGTCGGGCGTGGTGGTAGGCACCTGTAGTCCCAGCTACTCAGGAGGCTGAGGCAGGAGAATGGCGTGAACCTGGGAGGCAGAGATTGCAGTGAGATCGCACCACTGCACTCCAGCCTGGGCAACAAGCGAGACTCTGTCTCAAAAAAAAAATTTCCTAAAAAATTTAAAAGATGATATCCCATCTGGTTAGGTTAGGCTAAAGCTGGTACAAAAAAAAAAAAAAAAAAAAAAAAAAAGCACCATAAATGATTATGACTCTTGGAAAAGAAAACTGGTAATAAAACAGTCAACCAAACAAAAAAACAAAATACCAACATATTCACTCCAGTAATATGTATTAGAAGAAAAAACTGGCAACAACCTATTTGAAAATTGATTAAACAAATTATGGTATATCCACTCAAAGAAATAGTACATAATCATTTTAAACAATTGCAAAGACTCTAGCACCATAGAAAATTACATAGTATCAGATGAAAAGAGCAGCTCACGTAAACTTATACCTGTGCTATGATTATAACTATCTGAAAATGAGGCATTCATTTAGTCCCAGGCCAAAGGGAATAATGGAGAAAAAAGGAAAACTTCTGGACTATCCAAGATGGCAGTGTTGTGGAAGTATTTTTTCCCCTTTTCATTTCTATTTACATTAATTTTTGTGTAGGAAATAATCACTTTTTTTTTTTTTTTTTGAGACAGAGTCTTACACTGCACTGCTGGAGTGCAGTGGTGCAATCTTGGCTCACTGTAGCCTCTGCCTCCCAGGTTCAAGCAATTCTCCTGCCTCAGCCTCCCAAGTAGCTGAGATTACAGGTGCCTGCCACCACGTCCGGCTAATTTTTGTATTTTTAGTAGAGACAGCATTTCGCCATGTTGGCCAGGCTGGTCTTGAACTCCTGACCTCAAGTGATCCACCTGTCTTGGCTTCCCAAAGTGCTGCGATTACAGGGTGAGCCACAGTGCTCAGCCAAAATGTCATTAACCTCATTTAAAAATTACAACCCTTAGGCCGGGCGCGGTGGCTCACACCTGTAATCCCAGCACTTTGGGAGGCCGAGGCGGGTGGATCATGAGGTCAGGAGATCGAGACCATCCTGGCTAACAAGGTGAAACCCCGTCTCTACTAAAAATACAAAAAATTAGCCGGGCGCGGTGGCGGGCGCCTGTAGTCCCAGCTACTCGGGAGGCTGAGGCAGGAGAATGGCGTGAACCCGGGAGGCGGAGCTTGCAGTGAGCCGAGATTGCGCCACTGCAGTCCGCAGTCCGGCCTGGGCGACAGAGCGAGACTCCGTCTCAAAAAAAAAAAAAAAAAAAAAATTACAACCCTTGAACTATCTCAACAGTATCAGAGCTTTATCTGTTCCTACTGACAGCAAAGTGCTGCTCTGCCCAAGGGAAAGAAATAGAGGCACAGGGGACCCCACAAGTCAGAAGCAGGAGGGAAGGGAGGAGCCTGCCAGACAGGACCTCTACTTCAGGAAACCTGGTGCCAATGCCACACACAGGGTTGTTGGACACCACAGTGCCCAGGCAAGTGTGCACACAGGGTCACTAGCTCAAAATTATTTTTTGAGAATCAGGCCTAAAGTCAGCTGAATTCCAACCCACAGTCGGCAGGCCTATTATTAGGCATAATTTCAAACAGCCAAGAGGCTGCAAGCATCCTATATCCACCACATGCTTCTGTAACTCTGCAAGGAGATGCTATAAATCTGCTCCTGAGCAGACCAAAGGCACCTGGGCCCTATCCTGGCCCCACCCCCACTCCATGGCTATCTGTCTTATTTTCACAGGGGCATCCCAAGATCACTTCAGATGACCACATATGTGAGCAGGATGGCCAAACAGTTCCCAAAAAGGGGGCAGGAGAAGGGTGGGAGCAGGACATCTCTGGGGCTAGCTAGAGGCTCCTGTGGGATTTTCTTAAATGCTGAGCGTAGGGGCTTCTGAGATGTCATTGAATATATTTTTTCATTCAAAGGTTGTATTAATACATAATTTCTAAACCTTCAGAGGCAAAAGGGAGGTAATTAGTGTTGCCACTTATAGGCTAAAAGGATGTTCCATTTTATAATTCATTCAAATATAATTTTGAGGCCGGGCCTGGTGGCTCAAGCCTGTAATCCCAGCACTTCGGAAGGCTGAGGCAGGCAGATCACACCTGAGGTCAGAAGTTCAAGACCAGCCTGGCCAACATGGTGAAATGCTGTCTCTACTAAAAATACAAAAACTGGCCACATACGGTGGCGGAAACCTATAATCCCAGCTACTCAGGAGGCTGTGGCAGGAGAATCGCTTGAACACAGGAGGTGGAGGTTGCAGTGAGCCAAGATCACGCCACTGAACTCCATCCAGCGTGGGTGACAGAGTGAGATTCTGTCTCTTAAAAAGAAATAATAATAAAACAAACAAATACAATTCTGAATTAAAATTCAAAAGATATCAATGACCAATCCAAAGCAGAAGTGGGCAAAAGCTATATGAAAATTAGAGACTTCACTGAACAACCCAAAAAAGCTCAAAACAAAAGGAAAGAAACAAACTAGCAGAACAAATGGTATAGCTAGATAAAAAGGGCTAGTATTGTAAAGACGTTAAGTCTCCACATATTAGTTTATAAAATTCTAATAGGTTCCAGTCAAAATCTCAATAGGATATTAAAAAATAATTTTTAAGACTGGGCGTGGTGGCTCACGCCTGTAATCCCAGCACTTTGAGAGGCCAAGGCAGGCAGAACACACGAGGCCAGGAGTTCAAGACCAGCCTGGCCATTACAGTGAAACCCCGTCTCTACTAAAAATACAAAAATTAGCTGGGCATGGTGGCACATGCCCGTAATCCTAGCTACTCGAGTGGCTGAGGCACAAGAATCACTTGAACTCTGGAGGCTGCAGTGAGCTAAGATCGTTCCATTGCACTCCAGCCTGGGAGACAGAGCAACAGCCTCTCTCAAAAAAAAATAGTAATTTTAAATTACTTCAAATGTACAGAAAAGTGCAAAAATAGTTCAAAGGGCTCACATACCCTCTTTCAACGAGATTCTCCAACTGATGCTTTACCTCATTTGCTCCATTATCTTTTCCTGACCCCTTTGAGAGCAGGCTGAAGGCATGAAGCTCCATTGTTGCTCAATACTCTAGTGCGTTATTTCCAAAAACAAGGACATTCTCCTCCATAACCAGCATACAAGCCTCCACATCAGGAAATCAACACTGATACTACACTCTCAATCCAATCCATAGACCCCATTTGAATTTTGTCAGCTGTCCCAACAATGTCTTTCCTTTCTAGTCCAGGAGTCTACCCCAGAGCTACATCTCACCAGTGTCAATCAATCTGGAATAGTTCCCTTTTCTCTTCCTGACTTCCATGTCCCTGCCAGAGTACAGTCTTTTCATTTTGCAGGATAACCCTCAATCTGATCTGTATTTCCTCGTGACCAGACTCAGGTCATGCTTCCTTAGCGGCAATACCAGACACATGGTGCTGTATTCTTCCCAGGACATTGCATAAGAAGAAGACTGATGGCAACCCATCCCACTACTGCTGATATTTACCACATTCACCTGGTCAAGCTTATTAGAGATGTAGTGTCTCAGGCCCCACAGACCTACAGGATCAGATTCTGCATGTTAACAAGGTCACTAGCAAGTCACACATATGTTACTGTTTGTGAAGTACCAGTGAAAGGTCTTATAAAAAGTAAGAGCCACATGGGGAAGTTCAGATTTTATTAGAAGCCTTTGGAGGGTTTTAAACTATAGAGTGGCATGATCTGGTTTCAGTTCTTAAATGGCTCCTCTGGCTGTTTTGTGGAAAACAGACCAGGGGAGGGGCAAGGACAGAGCAGGGAATTAGTTAGTTGGTAGTCTGGTTAAGGGACGTTGGCTGCATGGGTGAATGTGGTGTTGATGGAGGTAGTGACACACAGTCAAAACGGACACAGTCTGAAGTCAGAGCCAACAGAAATTGCTAACGGATCAGAAGTGGACATGAGAGTCATAACAACAATGATAAACAGCAGCAGCCAACACTAGTTAAACACAAGCCATGTGCCAGCCACTGCTCCATGTCTTTTCAGGTGAAAATTCATTCAACTGTCACAATAATCCCAAGAGGTACAAGTGACAACCCCACTTTATTCAAATGAAGACAACATGGTAGAGAGAGGTTGTGTAGCTGCCCAAGGCCTCAGATCTGAGCTTAGGCAGTGACTGGGGAGCTTGTACTCCATTCACCATCCCTTACAGAACAACTGCAAACACTGCACCATTTGTGAAGAGGAACGAGGCTGGTAAAGGGAATCAAGAGTGCTTTGCCAAACATGGCAACACGCGATTCCCATTGCACATCCACATGGAAACAGCAGGGAGACAGCCAATGCGACAGGATCTCCAAGGAAAGGTGGAGTAGAGATAAAAATGGGAAGGTCATTAGCACAGAGGTAGTATTTAAAGCCAACAGAGTAGATGAGATCACCCAGAGCAGTTTTTCAAACTGCAGGCTGTGAAATCAATTTAGTGGGTCATGAACAGCACTTAAAAAAAAATGAAATAGAGCAGAATGGAAAATAACAGAGTCCACGGCTCATGAAGTATAAGAACCGTTTTGTGAAACTTTTGTTTCTGTTGTGTCTGTGTGCACAAGACGGTGTAGTGTGTTTGTACTTGTCCGGCATTTGGTATGGCTGAACAAAAAGATTTAAAACCACTGGTCTAGAGGCTAACTTGGAGTGACTGATCCCTGCAATCACTCTATCATTTAGAAGGTGGAGAAGAGGAAAAGAAGCCAGAAAAGGAGAGTGAAGAAGTAGGAAGGAGGAAAGGCAGTGGGGGGGTCCCAAGCAAATGTGACATGTTGGACATCCAACGTGCTGGTGAGAGTCATGCAGTATGATCACAGCAGAGATGTCCATAATTATGGAATGGCAAGGTAAGCACACAGCTGTGGGAGCAGAGGGGCACCTAACCTGTTTAAACTTAGCACAGAATAAAAAAGGGAAGGAGAGAGGTGATATTAGGATTTTATTTGAGATCTAAGTTTAAGGGAACGGCAGGATATCCAGTCTGTAACTTCCATAAACAGCAAATATCCAATCATTCTTTTATTGTTGTTTTTAAGCATCTACTATGTGCTGGGCTGTTTACTAGACCTGGGAAAATAACTAGGACACTGTTCTATCCTGAAAAGCCTCAAACTGCAAGAGAGTAACGCAGGTACAGTACAGTGAAGAGAGAGGGTCAGAAGATAGGGTGCGTAACAACAGGTTTGTTGAAGGCCACGGCAATTTTCCTTTCCAACCATACTGCTCACTATTGGCCAAACCCACCACTCCACACAGACCATGCGCTCCGACCTCTTGATTTGTGCTTGGCCTCTCCCCAAAACACTTTCCAAATCTGAGTCATTCCTCAAGGCCATTTGGCTTCCTCACTGAAGGCTTCAGGAAAACGGCTCAGCTTGGTGATCTTGCCTTCCCCAAACAGCTACAGCACTTCTTGTCCATACACCATTACCTGGTGGCTGTGTCCTTATTTCCCCACTTGGTATGAATGCCTTATCTCCCCAGCTGAGCCATGTATTGTTGAAGGCATGTAACAAACATGTCTCACATCTACAAGGTCCTCAAACAGCAGCCAAGCAAACACTTGTTGCTCTGCTACTAGACTTCCCTCCAATCCAGCTTGCATTTCAGCATCTTACTGAAAAAGATCTGATTAATTCACCCCCTATTTTAAAACCTTCACTGGCTCCCAATTATTAGTACAGCACATGCAGACTTGTCTTCCAGGTGTACCACACAGCTTTCCCTTCCCTGCCTCCCAAACACCTTAAAGTTGAAGCAACAGCAATAAAAATAGTCACGTGCTACATAACACATTTCTGTCAACAATGACCACGTACACAATGGTGGTCCCATCAGAGTACAATGGAGCTGAAAAACTCCTATTGCCTGGTGATGCTGTAGCTGTCATAATGCAACATATTACCTCCTTGTTTATGGTCATGCAAGTGTAAACCTAATATACTGCCAGTGGTATAAAAGCATAGCACATACAACTATGTACAGTACATAATACTTGAAAATAAACTATGTTACTGGTTTACATATCCTATGTAGAATTCTATGTTATGTATACTATGTATTCTACTTATAAAAATAGTTAACTAAAGCTGGGTGTGGGAGCATGTGCCTATAAGTCCTAGCTACTCAGGAGGCTGAGGCAGAGAATCGCTTGAACCTGGGAGGTGGAGGTTGCAGTGAGCCGAGATCATGCCACTGCACTCCAGTCTGGGCGACAGAGAGAGACTGTCTCAAAAAAAAAACCAAAGCAAACAAACAAAAGACACTGTTATCATAGGAGATGATAGCTCCATGTGTGTTACTGACCCTAAAGACCTTCCAGTGGGCCAAGATGTGAAGCTGGAAGACAGTGATATTGATTATTCTGACCCTGTGTAGGTTTAGGCTAATGCATGTGTTTGTGTCTTAGTTTTTAACAAAAGTGTTTAAAAAGTGAAAAAATAAAAAATAAAAAATATTTAAATATGGCTCGGTGAGGTGGCTCACGTCTGTAATCCCAGTACTTTGGAAGGCCAAGGTGGGTGGATCACATGGGGTCTGGAATTCCAGACCAGCCTGGCCAACACGGTGAAACCCCGTCTCTACTAAAAAAAACACAAAAATTAGCCAGGTGTAATGGCGTGTGCCTGTAGTACCAACTACTTGGGAGGCTAAGGCAGGAGAATCGCTTGAACTCGCGACATGGAGGCTGCAGTGAGCTGAGACTGCACCATTCCACTCCAACCTGGGCGACACAGCAAGACTCTGTCTCAAATAATGATAATAAATAGAAAAAAAAGCTTATAAAGTGGCTAGGCCTGGTGGCTCACACCTACAATTCCAGAACTTTTGGGAGGCAGAGGAGAAAGGATTGCTTGATGCCAGGAGTTTGAGACCAGCCTGGGCAACATAGCATGACTCCAGCTCTATAAAAACTAAAAAAACGTAGCCAAGCACGGTGGTATGCACCTGTAGTCCTAGCTACTCAGGAGGCTTAAGTGAGGGTTGCTTGAGCCCAGGAGTTTGAGGTTACAGGGAGCTATGACTGTGCCACTGCACTCCAGCCTGGAACAGAGTAAGACCTTATCTCTAAGAGTAATTAATAATAATCATAAAAAAGTTTATAGAATAACACAATGACAGAAAATATTTTTGAACAGCTGCACAATGTATTTGTGGTTTAAGCTAAGTGTTATTACAAGAGTCAAAAGGTTACAAATTTTTAAAGTTTTTAAAGTAAAAAAGTTACAGTAATCTGGCCAGGGACTGGTGGCTCATGCCTGTAATCCCAGCATTTTGAGAGGCCCAGGCGGGTGGATCACAAGGTCAGCAGATCAAGACCATCCTGGCTAATACGGTGAAACCCCGTCTCTACTAAAAATACAAAAAATTAGCCAGGTGTGGTGGCGGGCACCTGTAGTCCCAGCTACTCGAGAGGCTGAGGCAGAAGAATGACGTGAACCCGGGAGGCGGAGCTTGCAGTGAGCCAAGATCAAGCCACCGCACTCCAGCCTGGGCGACAGAGAGAGACTCCGTCTCAAAAAAAAAAAAAAAAAAGTTACAGTAATCTAAGGTTAATAATATCAAAACAAGAAAACTTTAAAAAATAAATTTAGTGTAGTCCAAATGTACAGTGTTTATACATCTACAGTAGTGTGCAGTAACGTCCTGGGCCTTTACCTTCATTCACCATTCACTCACTGACTCACCCAGAACAACTTCCTTATCTTTTATACCTTATTTTTACTGTACCTTCTCTATGTTTAGACATATGCAGATACATACTTACCACTCTTTTACAATCTCCTACAGCATTCAGTACAGTAACATGCGGTACAGGTTTGTATCCTAGGAGCAATAGGCTATACCACATAGCCTAGATGGGCAGTCGGCTACACCCAGGCTAGGTGTGTGTAAGTACATCCTAAGATGTTAGAACAACGACAAAAATCACTCAATGATGCACTTCTTAGAAATATTCTGTTGTTAACTGAGGCATGATTGTACCAAAACAAAAAAAAAACAACGTACCACCAGCACCAAAGGTGCCAGAGATGAAAATTAGAAAGACGACTGATATTCATTCAACTGCTGACAACAGATGTTTTGGGGGTGGGATTACAGGGCATAGTCATCTTTCAGCAACTAGTTCGATCGGCCGGGCGCAGTGGCTCACGCCCGTAATCCCAGCACTTTGGGAGGTCGAGGCGGGCGGATCACGAGGTCAGGAGATCGAGACCATCCTGTCTAACACGGTGAAACCCCATCTCTACTAAAAAAAATACAAAAAAATTAGCACGGCGTGGTGGCGGGCACCTGTGGTCCCAGCAACCCGGGAGGCGGAGCTTGCAGTGAGCCTAGATCGTGCCACTGCGCTCCAGCCTGGGCAACAGAGCAAGACTCCGTCTCCAAAAAGAAAAAAAAAAAAAAAAACTAGTTTGACCAACATGCTAATTTTAAAACAAATAAAATTTAAAAGAAAACAATAATTGCAACTACTTTTATTGAGTGTTTAAATTATGTGCAATGCAATATTTTTTGTTTGTTTTGAGACAGAGTCTCCCTCTGTCGTCCAGGCTGGAGTGCACTGGTGCAATCTCGGCTCAGTGCAACCTCTGCCTCCCTGGTTCAAGCAATTCTCCTGCCTCAGTCTCCCAAGTAGCTGAGATTACAGGCTTGTGCCACAATACCCGGCTAATTTTTGTATTTTTAGTAGAGGCGAGGTTTTAACCATGTTGGCCAGACTGGTCTCGGACTCCTGACCTGAAGTCATCCACCTGCCTCGGCCTCCCAAAGTGCTAGGATTACAGGTGTGAGCCATCACACCCAGCTGCAATGCAATATATTATAGTCTCATTTAATCTTAACTCTATTATGCAGTAACTAGCCATTCTGCAGATGAGGAAACAAAGGCTCAGAAAGTTTAGTAACTCTCATAAGGTTATACAGCCAGTCAGTAAGGAAGACAGGCTGGGACTAACAAGGAATGTGCCCTAACTTCTACTGTTCTTAGCAATGTTCTGTGTATTCCCAGCACACCCAGCAGGCACCTTCTGCACCTTTTCGTTTGTTCAGCCTGGTCCTTCTGCGTGAATAATACCAGCTTTGCTGACATACCACTCACCTTTCAAGTCCAGTGCAAATCGCACTTTTCCCTTAACACCTTCCTAGAACACAAGCCATGATAAGCATTACCAGAGTTATCTACCCTTCTATTTCCCCCACAGCGTGGGACCTTAGTTCTCTTACTGCCACGCACAGAGCAAGCAATCGAACACTGGGTGAATTAAGTTGACAATATAAATTCTCTTTCTGACAAATGTAAAGGTAACAGATGAAGACCAAAAGTTTTAATCTGTGAGGAAAATTAATACCAAGAAAGGGTTTCCATAATCCCTACCTGCATTCTCTGCTCTGAACCTCACCTCTCACTGAGGCATAAGGAAAGGCAGGTTAATTTTCACCTCTTCCAAAAAGTGGCTTTACATAATAAATCCCACTTCTGAAGAATAAAAGCTACCTAACTTGTTATTAAAAATGTAAGCAATGAGAATAAAAAGGTTTCTTTAGAGTTTTTAAAATTACTTTCAATGCCTCTAGCCCTTGAAAGAAAGCACTTAAGTTTAGTACAAACAAAATGTAAAAACATGAAAACTTACTTTCCCTATACATAAACATGGAGACACAAAACCAGTGAAACAGACACGTTTAAAATTCAAAATGCTCTTAACTGACCACATCCTAATTTACGAGCAGAAGTCGAGTCCAAACAAAAACACACTGTAAAACAAAAGTGCTGGCTAACAACCTTAGAAAGAAAATATAGGAGGGGACAAACAGATTTTAATGTGTCCTTGGCCTTCCTGAGCAAAGCAATGAGAAATGCAGTCAACCAAAGCATTTAGACTTGATTTTACTGGACGTACCAACACCATAGGTCAACCTGTCAAATGAAGCAAAAAGCAGAACCGAGTTCTATGGGTTTAGTCCCCTCCAGATAAAAGCCAATGAACCTTTTTACAGTTTATGGGGTCCTCTCCATATGGCTGGGGATGCAGGCATGGGAGGAATATTGTCTGGACGATTAATTCCTGTGAAATGAACACAGGAGTTAGGAGGAGCGGAGGTGAGTCAACACACTCTACACTTCCACGGTTGCCTCAAACTCACCACAATTCCAAAATACCAAGAAACAATGTGCTAGTTCTTGCTTTTTTTAAGTGTCCATAAGCTAAAAGTCCTTCTGAAGATTGAGCGTCCCACTTAAAAGCCCAAACCAAAAAATAGTTTGCAGGATTATTTCAAATATATTAAAAACATCAAAATGCTAACTCCAAACTAAGGTGAAATAGTTACATCTAAGTATCCAAGAAGAGCATCAAGAATTAGCAAATTAATTTAGGGTCAGAAAACCTAATAATTAGGGTCAGAAGAACAAAAAGATCATTTCGGTAGCATAAGAACTTTGTGCCGGGTGCAGTGGCTCACGCCTGTAAATCCCAGAACTTTTGGAGGGCAGGGCAGGCGGATCACGAGGTCAGGAGTTCAAGACAAGCCTGGCCAACATGGTGAAACCCCACCTCTACTAAAAAAAATACAAGAATTAGCCAGGCATAGTGGCGCATGCCTGTAGTCCCACATACTCGGGAGGCTGAGGCAGGAGAATTGCTTGAGCCCAGGAGACAGAAGTTGCAGTGAGCCGAGATCGTGCCACTGCACTCCAGTCTGGCCAACAGAATGAGACTCTGTCTCAAAAAAAAAAAAAAAAAGAACTTTGTAAATGTCTGTCGCTCTAGACCTTATTTTAGGGTGCAAGCCATAACTATGATAAGGAGGGTGCCATGTATAAATGTAACAGACACTGAGACAAAAGAAAACTACTCCTGACAGCAGTTTGCTGTCTTTCCCAAGAGATTTGAGGAACAGTAACCATAAAACTTTCCTCCTCCCTTCTCAACTGGGGACTTCTCTGATGTAATATCAGGGAGAAGAACAAGGGAACATTGGGTATCAACTGGTGCACACCATCTCTCTCCTGAAGTGACAGAAAGAACATTGAGTAGTACTATCTTACCTAGAGTCAAACTAAATGACTTGAACAAAGAGACCAAGAAAAACATGTTTAGAAAATCATCTAGAAATAGGATTTTATTTTAGTAAGCGAAGTGAACAAAAAATACAATTTTATTTGTACATACAATTGCTTCCACTATTAAATTTGTTTTCTATTGATTCTTCTGGGTCATCTGTTGGAAAAAGTACTACATTTAGAATTAAGAAATCTAAATACTTCCTAGTCTTGCCACTTGTTCTGTGACTTGGGCAAGTTATTTAACCCATATGTCTCACATTCTTCACCTGCAAAAGTGGAGTTAACCTACCTTGCCACCACACGGGAATGTCCCACAGTAAGTCTGCAAACAGCTAAGTACCATATAAATCAAAATTATCACTGTTAGAATTACCACCCTCTTTCCCTCTCTCAGGTAAAAACTTGAACCAATAATAAAATAAGTAAAAGACACCAGACATGGTGGCTCACGCCTATAATCCCAGCACTTTGGGAGGCCGAGGCAGGCAGATCACTTGAGGTCAGGAGTTCAAGATCAGCCTGGCCAACATGGTGAAACCCTGTCTCTACCAAAAATACAAAAATTAGCTGGGCATGGTGGCAGGCACCTGTAATCCGAGAATCACTTGCTTGTACACCCAGGAAGCAGAGGTTGCAGTGAGCCGAGATCTCACCACTGCACACTCCAGCCTGGGTGACAGTGAGATTCCACTTCAAAAAAACAAACAAAAACAAAAACAAAAAAACAAGTAAAAGACAACAAGGAAAAAAATGGAAAAGAGGTTATCAAACAAACAAAATAAACCCTAAAAAACACAATAAATAACTACTGATTGGTGTAACAGCACTCTGTGACAGGTAATTTTTGTCATTCTCGAGTTAGGAAAGATCCCACACCCTGGGATCTACAGTCCATTCATAGAAATCACAGCAGGGTTAAATCCTCATCAATCCTCTAATTCACAATGAAGAATGCCGACGGAGCGCATTCTTAATCTATATGGCAAGAACTACAAGCCACAGGACCAATCCCCACCCTCCCCACAGAGGGACAGTGGCCTGACAGTTGGAGCTCTACTTGGAGGCAGATGGCCTCTAAAGTGCAAGAGTTTTCCCTTCTTCCCTGACCACTGGCATGCAATTAGCAAACACCCTAACCCCAGTCATTCTGAAATAAGCCAATGGAGAGTCACCTGCAATCCTAAATTTTGAAAATAAAAAAGTCAAAGAGACACAAACATTCTATGAAAAA
Organism: Homo sapiens; assembly: GCF_000001405.40. NCBI lineage: Eukaryota > Metazoa > Chordata > Mammalia > Primates > Hominidae > Homo > Homo sapiens. The sequence goes on from NW_014040931.1 coordinate 157,704, forward strand.
TCAGCCACAAGCATAACATTGCAGGTATTGTGGGTCTGGTTCCAGACCGTGGCAATAAAGCGAGTCACACAAATTTTCTGGTTTTCCAGCACATATTAACTTTTATATGTGTACGCTATACTTCAGTCTACTAAGTGTGAAATGGTATTATGTCTAAAAGACAATGTTCATACCTTAATTTAAAAAATACTTTATCGTTAAAAAATGCTAACAATCATCTGAGCCTTCAGGGAGTCCTAATCTTTTTGCTGACGGAGGGTCTTGCCTCCATGTTGATGGCTGCTGACTAATTAGGGTGGTGGTTGCTGAAGGCTGAGGTGGCTGTGGCAAATTTCTTCAAATAACACACCCATGAAGTCTGACGCATCGACTGGCTCTTCCTTTTCTAAGAGATTTTTCTATAGCATGCCAAACTGTTTGATAGCATTTTACCCACAGTGGAACTTCTTTCAAAACTGCAGTCAGTTCTCTTCAACCCCGCCACTGCTTAATCAACTACGTTTATGTAATATTCTAAATCTTTCATTGGCATTTCAACAATGTTCACAGCATCTTCATCAGGAGTAGATTCCATCTCAATAAATCACTTTCTTTGCTCATCCATAAGCAGCAACTCCTCATCTGTTCAAGTTTTATCATGAGATTACAGCAATCCAGTCACATCTCCAGGCTCCACTTTTAATTCGAGTTCTCTTGCTATTTCTACCACATCTGCAGTTCCTGCCTCCACTGAAGTCCTGAACCCCTCAAAGTCATCCATGAGGGCTGGAATCATCTTCCAAACTCCTGTTCATGTACTGACCTCCTCCCATGAATCACAAATGTTCTTAATGGCATTTAGAATGGTAAATCCTTTCCGAAAGGTTTTCAATTCACTCTGCCCAGACCCACTAGAGGAATTATTATGTATAGCAGCTAGAGCCTTATGAAACATATTTCTTAAATAAGACTTGAAAATCAAAATGATTCCTTGATCCAGGGGCTGCAGAATAGATGTTGTGTTAGCAAGCATGAAAACAACATTTATCTCCTTATACATTTCCATCAGAGCTCTTAGGTGACCAGGTATACTGTCAAGAAGTAATATTCTGAAAGAAATCTTTTGAGTAGTAGGTCTCAACAGTGGCCTTAAAATATTCATTAAACCATTCTGTAAACAGATGTGCTGTCATCTAGGTTTTGTTGATCCACTGACAGAGCACAGGCAGAGTAGATTTAGCATAAATTTATGGGCCCTAGAATTATTAGAATGGTAAATGAGCACTGGCATCAACCTAAATTCACCAGCTACACCAGCTCCTAATAACAGTCAGCCTGTCTTTTGAAGCCAGGCACTGACTTCTCCTAATTATGGAAGTCCTAGATGGCATCTTTTCTGACATAAGGCTACACTGAATATCTGTTCAATATAGCCACCTTCATCAGTGATCTTGGCTACATCTTCTAGATAACTTGCTGCAGCTTCTACATTAGCACTTGCTTCAACTTGCATTTTAATGTTACAGAGATGGTTTCAAGAACTTTAGGAACCAATCTGTGCTAGCTTCAAACTTCACTTCTGCAGCTTCTTACTTTTTTCAGCCTTCACAGAAGTGAAAAGAGAAAGTCTTGCTCTGGGATTAGGCTCTGGCTTAAGGGAATGTTGCGGCTGGTTGATTTTCCATCTGAGTCACTAAAACTTTTCCATATCAGCAATAAGCTGTTTCGTTTTCTTCTCATTCATGTGTTCACTGGAGTTGTACTTTTAACTTTCTTCAAGAACCTTTTCTTGCATTCATAACTTGGCCACGTTTGGTGCAATAGGCCTAGTATTCAGCCTATCTTGGCTTTTGACATGCCTTCCTCACTAAACCATCATTTCTAGCTTCTGATTTAAAAGTGAGAGATGTGCAATTCTTCCTGTCACTTGAACATTTAATGGTCATGATCAGGTTATTAACTGACCTAACTTCAATACTGTTGTGTCTGAGGTAACAGAGAGACCTGAGGAGGTGGTGAGATGGGGGGACACCCAGTTGGCAGCAGTCTGAACACACATCTATACACAACATGTATATATTAAGTTCGCCGTCTTATATGGGAGTGCTTTGTGGCGCTCCAAAACAATTACAAAAGTAACATCAGGCCGGGCGCGGTGGCTCACGCCTGTAATCCCAGCACTTTGGGAGGCCGAGGTGGGTGGATCATGAGGTCAGGAGATTGAGACCAACCTGGCTAACACGGTGAAACCCTGTCTCTACTAAAAATACAAAAAAATTAGCCAGGTGTGATGGCGGGCACCTGTAGTCCCAGCTACTCGGGAGGCTGACGCAGGAGAATGGCGTGAACGCGGCAGGCAGAGCTTGCAGTGAGCCGAAATCGCACCACTGCACTCCAGCCTGGGCGACAGAGCGAGACTCCATCTCAAAAAAGAAAAAAAAAAGTAACATCGATGATCACTGATCACAGATCTTCATGACAGATAACAATTTTAAAAGTTTAAGGCTGGGCGCGGTGGCTCATGCCTGTAATCCCAGCACTTTGGGAGGCCGAAGCGGGTGGATCATCTGAGAACAGGAGTTCGAGACCAGCCTAGCCAATACGGAGAAACCCCGTCTCTACTAAAAATACAAAATTAGCAGGGCGTGATGGCGCATGCCTGTAATCCCAGCTACTCGGGAGGCTAAGGCAGGAGAATCACTTGAACCCCGGAGGCGGAGATTGCAGTGAGCCAAAATCACGCCATTGCACTCCAGCCTGGGGAACAAGAGTGAAAATCTCTCTCAGAAAAAAAAAAAAAGTTTAAAATATTCAGGCCAGGTGTGGTGGCTCATGCCTGTAATCCCAGCACTTTGGGAGGCTGAGGCAGGCAGATCACTTCAGGTTAGGAGTTCCAGACCAGTCTGGCCAACACAGTGAAACCCCACCTCTACTAAAAATAAAAATATTAGCCGGGCATGGTGGTGCACACCTGTAATCCCAGCTACTCACGAGGCTGAGGGGGAGAATCGCTAGAACCCAGGAGGTGGAGGTTGTAGTGAGCCGAGATGGCGCCACTTCACTCCAGTGCAGCTCTGGGAGACAGAGCGAGACTCCGACTCAAAAATAAATAAAATAAAATGAATAAAATGTTTAAAATATTGGGAGAATTACCAAAATGTGGCACAAAGACACAAAGTGAGCACATGCTGTTGAAAAATTGGCACCAACAGACTTAGACTTGCTCAATGCAGGGTTGCAATAAACCTTCAATTTATAAAACAAAAAAATCCCACAATATCTGTGAAGTACAATAAAGTAGAATGCAATAAAATGAGGTATCCCTGTATTTCCAAAGCTTCTAGGTGGTAATAATAATAGCTAAAATTTATCTAATCATTACTGTAAGTCTGGCAATGTTCTAAAAGCTTTAGTTATGAACTAATTTAACTGGCACAGCCACCCACGAGGTAGGTACAATTATTATTTCCATTTTCTAGACAACGAAACAGAGGCAGAATAGTCATTTGCTTGACGTCACATTGCAAACAAGGGGCAGAGCTGGGATTCAAAAATCAGGCGACTGGCTGCAGAGATCATGCTCTAGATAGTGAGTCTTAAAGCACCCACCAACCAATACCACCTGGTTTACCCAAACAATTCAGGCATCTTAACAGTGTCACACAGAGACATAAACAATAATACAGTATAATAGTATCACTCACCATATGGTCACTTGTTTCAAGGTTAATGTTAGAATAACATGAGTCCATGAAAATAAGACCTTGTTTTCTGTTTACAGTAATACAGACTAAATAACTGCACAAAAAACTGGATACAATATATATACATCTTTCCAAAAGTAACAAAAATCTAACAAGATAGTGAGATATTACCAAATTAATATCCTGAAAAAGATGGAAATCCAAAGAAAGAGGCAAGACCTGGGGGCATTTGTTGATTTGCCAGTGGAGGCCCAGAAAGTGCCTGGCTCACTCCAAGGCCTTGCATAGGAGATAACTTATAACTCATAACTCAGTAACGCGCTCCTCACCCCAGCGAACCTGTGAACTGAGGCCCCATAGGGCTGCATCCTAGGAGTAAGACTGAAGTAGAAGTAAATAAGCCCTCCCATGGACTCAGCTTCAAACCATCTGGATAGTCCATAAAAAACTCAAATCTTCAACTTTTTTTTTTTTCTGAGACAGAGTCTTGCTCTGTCCCCCCCAGGCTGGAGTGCAGTGGCGCCATCTCAGTTCACTGCGACCTCCGCCTCCCGGGTTCATACGACTCTCCTGCCTCAGCCTCCCAAGTAGCTGGGATTACAAGCACCCGCCATCACGCCCGGCTAATTTCTGTATTTTTAGTAAGGAGGGGGTTTCACCATGTTGGCCAGGCTGGTCTCGAACTCCTGACCTCAGCTGATCTGCCTGCCTCAGTCTCCCAAAGTGCTCTGGGATTACAGGCCTTAGCCAGCGCGCCTGGGCTTCAACTTGTATTAAAATGATCCTCGTTGGCTAGTGCCGTCAGTCACCTGGAAAAAGACATCACACCCAAAGCCTCTAATTATTTCTATAAACAATTTTTCAAATACCATGTCCAGCACACAAACATATGAACAAAGTACCATGAGTAAGAACCATGAGAGGCAGTTATAGATCCAAAGGAACTCCAAATACTGGAGATATCAGGAGACTATAAAAGAATTATATTTAGTATGTTCTAGGAAATAAAAGCGAAGTTTGAAAAATTTAGCAGGGAACAGGAATCCATAAAAAACAATGTAGCAGACTTGAAAAGAATCACAACTGAAAAATACAGTAAGATATTGGTAAGAACTATCCATTGAGTTATTAAATTAAAAGCAGATTAATCGGCTGGCGCGGTGGCTCATACTTGTAATTCCAGCACTTTGGGAGGCTGGGGCAGGTGGCTCACTTGAGGCCAGGAGTTGAAGACCAGCTTGGCCATCATGGTGAAACTCCATCTCTACTAAAAGTACAAAAATTGGCCAGGTGTAGGGGCACACACCTGTGGTCCCAGCTACTCGAGAGGTTAAGGCACAAGAACTGCTTGAACCCAGGAGGCAGAGGGTGCAGTGAGAGCCAAGATCGTGCCACTGCACTGCACCCCAGCCTGGGCGAAAGAGTGAGACTCTTGTCTCAAAAAAACGCAGATTAGTCAAAGAGAAGACTGATTAACTGAAAACAGGTCAAAGTAATCTACCCAGAATGAAAAATAGAAAAGAAAAAAAACACTTGTAATGGATGCCATTTAATCCCAGCACTTTAGGAGGCTTAGGCGGGCAGATCAGGAAGTCAGGAGATCGAGACCATCCTGGCTAACACAGTGAAACCCCGTGTCTACTAAAAATACAAAAAATTAGCCAGGCGTGGTAATAAGTGCCTGTAAGTCCCAGCTACTCGGGAGGCCGAGGCAGAAGAATCACTTGAACCCAGGAGGCGGAGGTTGCAGTGAGCCGAAATCGCACCACCGCACTCCAGCCTGGGCGACAGAGCGAGACTTCGCCTCAAAAAAAAAAAAAAAAAAAAAAAAACAGAAAAGAAAGGGTGACTACAAGGTTGAATGTATCCCTGTATGGGTGGACTCTTAGAATGAGAAGGGAATGGAGGCAAGGCAGTAAGTGAGGAGAAGTATTGGGAATTTTCCAGAACAAATAAGAGATATCACCAAAGAATCAAGAATCTTGGTGAATACAAAACAGATGGTCTCTATTATCTAGAATGTCTTCCAAAAATAACATGAACCTGTTCTGTAAGTATAGTACCACCACAATTAAATATCTATTGTGGTCATATTAGGGGTTATCATAGGGTATACTATATAGACGAACTTACAACACTCTCAGCACGTGAGGAGCTCAAAGTCAAGGATTTAGAAGAGGTATTTTCAACTGTGAAGATCTCTCTACCCGGCCAGGCGAGGTGGCTCACACCTATAATCCCAGCACTTTGGGAGGCTGAGGCACGCGGATCACCTGAGGTCAGGAGTTCAAGACCAGCCTGGCCAACATGGTGAAACCCCATCTCTACTAAAAATACAAAACTTGGCCAAGGGTGGTGGTGGGCACCTGTAATCCCAGCTACACGGGAGACTGAGGCAGGAGAATCACTTGAACCCAGGAGGCAGAGGTTGCAGTGAGTGGAGATCGCACCACTGCACTTCAGCTTGGGTGACAGAGCAAGACTCTGTCTCAAAAAAAGAAAAAAGACATGCAGGAACCTTAAATGATTATTGCTAAGTGAAAGACATGAATCTGAAGTGGCTACATGACTTTAGCTATATAATATTCTGGAAAACACCAAACTGTAAAGTCAGTAGGAAGATCAATGATTACCAAGGATCCAAGGGAAGAGGGGGAAGGATGAATACGGAGAGAGTACAGGTGACTCCTGGGATAGTGAAACAATTCTGTATAATACTGTATTAGCAGATGTAAGACATTATGCATTTGTCCAAACCCACAGAATATACAACAAAGAATGAACTCAAGTCAGTTGCTGTGGCTAGCACCTGTAATCTCACCTGAATCCAGCAGCTCAAGGTTACTGCGAGCTATGATTGTACCACTGCACTGGCTGGCAGAGCAAGACACTGTCTCAAAAAAAAAAAAAAAAAAAAAAAAAAAAAGTCAGGCATGATGGCTCACGCCTGTAATCCCAGCACTTTGGGAGGCTGAGGTGGACTGATCACTTGACGTCAGAAATTTGAGACCAGCCTGGCCAACACGGTGAAACCCTGTCTCTACTAAAAATATAAAAATTAGCAGGCATGGTGGTGGGTGCCTGTAATCCCAGCTACTCAGAAGGCTGAGGCAGGAGAATCGCTTGAACCCTGGAGGTGGAGGTTGCAGTGAGCTGAGATCACACCACTGCACTCCAGCCTGGGCAACAGAGCAAGACTCCCTCTCAAAAACAAACAAAAAAAGGTCAAATATGAACTGGACTTGAGTTAATAATAAAATATCAATACTGTATATCAAGTGTAGCAAATGCACCACACTAATATGAGATATTAGTAATAGTGGAACCTATGGTTGGATTGAGGGAGGGTAAACAGGAACTCTCTTATTGCTCATTTTTTCTGTAAACCTAAAACTGCTCTAAGCAATAAAGTCTACTAACATTTCTCTTAAAAAGTTAATGTATCAGGAAAAATGAACCACAATGACACAGCACTTCATACCCATAGGTATGGCTATAGGAAAGAAAACAAAAAATTACAAGTGTTGGTGATGATGTGGAGAGACTGGAACCCTCACATATTGCTGGTGGGGGCCAGGCACACTGGATCACTTGAAGCCAGGAGTTAGGAGACCAGCCTGGCCAACCATGGTGAGACCCTGTCTATAAAAATACAAAAATTAGACAGGTATGGTGGCACATACCTGTAATCCCAGCTATTTGGGAGGCTGAAGCAAGAGAATCACTCGAGCCCAGTGAGTGAAGCCTGTAGTGATCCACGATCATGCCACTGCCCTCCAGCCTGGGCCACACATGGGAATATAAAATATTCAGCCACTGTGAAAAAGTCTGGTGGTTCTTCAAAAAGTTGAATACAGAATTACACGATCCAGCAACTCCATTCCTAGGTATATACTCAAAATAAGTGAAAACAGGTATCCAAACAAATAGATATACACACATGTTCATAGCAGCACTATTCAAAATAGCCAAAAGGTGGAAACAACCGAAATGTCCATCAACAGATGAACGGATGAACAGATTGTGGTATATACATAAAACTGAGTATGTATTCAGCCATGAAAAGGAATGAAGTACTCATACACAATACAATGTAGATAAATCTCAAAACACTACGCGCTAAGTGAAAGAAGTCAGACATGAAAGGTCACATATTGTACGATTCCATCTAATGAAATATCCAAAAGAAGTAAATCTAAAAACAGAAAGCAGATCGGTGGTTGCAAAGGACTGGCAGAAGAGGGCAAGGGGAGTAACTGCTTAATGGGTAGCAGGTTTACTTTGGGACTAGATACAGGTTGTTATGGGTGCACACATTGTGAATGCAGCAAACGCCACTCGAGTGTTCGCTTAAAAATGATTAATTTTGTCACGTGAATTTCATATCAATTTAAAAAAATCTGGCTGGGCGCAGTGGCTCACACCTGTAATCCCAACACTTTGGGAGGCTGAGGCAGGAGGATCACTTGAGTTCAGGAGTTCAAGACCAGCCTGGACAACATGGCGAAACCCCATCTCTACAAAAAAAAATACCAAAATCAGCTGGGCATGGTGGTGCGCACCTGTAATCCTAGCTACTGGGGTGGTTGAGGCACAAGATTTGCTTCAGCCTGGGAGGCGGAGATTGCAGTGAGCCGTGATCATGCCACTGCACTCCAGCCTGGGCAACAGAGCCGGATCCTGTCTCAGAAGAGAAAAAGAAAAAGAAAAAAAATCTCTAAAAAGGTGTAACTGAGAAGAACCTAGGACATGCAAGAGCAAGTAATTCATTACATAGTCTTCCCCTTTAGTTATCTCCCTTACTCCTTTTTTTCTCTTTGTAGCTGGGACTACAGGCATGCACCACTATGCCCGGCTATTTTTAATTTTGTAGAGACGAGGTCTCACTATGCTGCCCAGGCTGGTCTCCAACACCTGGGTTCAAGTGATCCTCCCACCTAGCATCCCATTGTAGGCGTCAACTACTGTGTCCAGCCTCCTTTACTCCTGTCTCATTCCCATGGCTACTCATCTCGGCCCTGCAAAAACATGAAACGTGGAAGAACAAGATGCTATCTGGGAGGTTTCTAACACTAAATTAAATATTGTTTCTTTGAACACTGACCTACTTCTCCCTTAAGAACTGAGTCCTAGTACTAAAAACTAACCTTTCACCATCATCTTCCTAAAATATTGTGATACCTTCTGCAATGCCCTTTTAAGGGGGTCAAGACAATTCATGTATTCACCCTAAGACAGCTTCCTCCAGCGCGATGTCAACCTTTCTGCCCACCTGCTCAGGACCTCAATTTTGCTAAGATCACTAGCTCTTACTAAGCTTTGGTAGAATTAACCAATGTTTTCTAGCGCCTTTCCCTCTCTATGGCCAATTTTATTTTTAAATTTTATTTATGTATTTTTTGGAGAGAAGGTCTCACTACGTTGCCCAGACTGGTCTCCAACTCCTCGCCTCAAGCAATCCTCCCACCTCAGCCCCTGAATAGATGGAATTACAGGCATGAGCCACCACAGCCAGCTCTATGGTCAAATTTTTACAACGTATTATCAATGATCTAGTTGTCTGTTTCCCACACAATACTGTTGAACACCCTGAGGACAAGTACTAGGACTCATCCCCAAACTCTGAAAAATGGTGCTTCTCAGTCGTTTCCCCATTTGGTTTCTTTTCTTCTACTCTAAAATACTAGACCCAATTTGCTTAATTCTTTTTCTTTTTTCTTTTTTTTCTGAGATGGAGTCTCACTCTGTCACCCAGGCTGGAGTGCACTGGTGTGATCTTGGCTCACTGCAACCTCCACCTACCAGGTTCAAGTGATTCTCTTACCTCAGCCTCCGTGTAGCTGGCGTTACAGGCGCATGCCACCACGCCCAGCTAACTTTCGTATTTTTGGTAGAGACAGGGTTTCGCCATGTTGGCCAGGCTGGTCTTAAACTCTTTACCTCACCTCAAGTGACCCATCCGCCTCGGCCTCCCAAAGTGCTGGGATACAGGCATGAGTCACCAGGCCTGGCCTCAATATACTTAATTCTTTACCTACATTGTTTCTCCTGGCTTCAAAAAGCTTCCTGACCACCAAAACTAATCCTTGGAAAAGGACAAGTCTTCCCTACACCAAAACTAAATACCATTGTTTGCCTTTTTCTCGTACGTGTTTTTCTCTACCTCTAAAATGATTGCTTGTTCATGTGTTCAATGCACCGTAGAGGATACGGCAAGTGCCAATACCATAATCTTGCCCTCAGGGAGGACTGGGGAAGGAGGGCAAGAACACATTTAGAAAGGTATAATAGGCTGGGCACGGTGGCTCACGCCTGTAATCCCAGCATTTTGGGAGGCTGAGGCAGGCAGATCACGAGGTCAGGAGTTTGAGACCAGCCTGGCCAACATGGTGAAACGCCATCTCTACCAAAAATACAAAAATTAGCCAGGCGTGGTGGCGGGTGCCTGTAATCCCAGCTACTTGGGAGGCTGATGCAGGAGAACTGCTTGAACCTGGGAAGCAGGGGTTGCAGTGAGCCGAGATTGCGCCACTGCACTCCAGCCTGGGGGACAGAGCAAGACTCTGTCTCAAAAAATTAAAAAAAAAAAAAAAAGGAAAAAAGAAAGGTATAATAAAAAGCAAAAAGCAAAGATTAAAGGTGCACCAGAAAATTACAAACGTCATGAAGGAAACATCCAGTTAAGGGAATGTTAGATTTCATGGAGAAAAGTAACATTTGAGAAAGGCCTTGAAATATAACTATCTCAAAAGATGGAGAACAGGCTGCACGCGGTGGCTCATACCTGTGATCCCAGCACTTTGGGAGGCCGAGGCAGGTGGATCACCTGAGGTCAGGAGTTAGAGACCAGCCTGGTCAACATGGTGAAATCCCATCTCTACTAAAAATATAAGAATTTGCTTGGCGTGGTGGCAGGCGCCTGTAATCCCAGCTACTCAGGAGGCTGAGGCAGGAGAATGGCATGAACCCGGGAGGCGGAGCTTGCAGTGAGCCGAGATGGTGCCACTGCACTCCAGCCTGGGTGATAGAGCGAGACTCCATCTCAAAAAAAAAAAAAAAAAAGATAAGATGGAGAACAGAAAAGAGGACACGGACCCAGACCTGGAAATAAAGGCACCTCTGGGGACACCGAGCTGCAGCAGAGGATACAACTGGGGAAACCAGGAGATGTGGTTAGAGAGGCAGGGCAGGGTCCTACCATGGAACCCTGAAGACCAAGGCAAGGTGTCTAAATTTAACTCAGTACACAAATGAAAAGGATACGACAAGAGCTACCTTTCAGAAGATTTTCTGGCAGTAGTTGGGAAGACACTAGACCAGGGACTGGGGAAGAAAGGTTACTATTCACGAAGCTACAAGAGCTCAGGCAGGTCCAGCACCATGCTCATTTAAACCACTACCAATCTCTACTTCCACAAGCCTTGACCTGTCTCCTACTTGACTGGTTCCTCCGCATCTCTTCAAGACACCTCTCTTCAATTTCCTCACTTAAAATCACTAACTAGAAAGAAAAAATTAATAGTCTGTTCTACAGAAGTGACTTAAAAAGTGAATATTGTAGACTGATACAACCTTCTGGTTCATAGCCTTTACAACAAATATGTTGGCTCCTACTGTGTGTCAGGCACTACTCTAGGAAACATGGATGCAGACAGGGATGGAGTAGGCAAAGTTTCCATCCCATGGTGCTTACATTTTGTGAAGGAAACAGATACAAGACAAGACTGTCAGATAATTGCTGTGAAGGGAGAACAGGGCTGAGGGAGAGAGCACGTACTCATGTGGGCGCTGCCTGGGCTCAGGTGGGCAGGGAAAGCCTGTCAGTGTGGGGAGAAAGCAGCAGCCACATGGTGTACATTTTTACAAAGTATACATTTTACACTAAAAGGGAGAAACAGGTTTTGAAGCCACATAGAGTTGCATGCCAGCCCTGGCTCTATCACTTGGTGGCTGAGGAACCTCTTCCAAATGAATGAATCTCTCTTCAGTCTGTTTCTTTATCCCCGTTTTACAGATAAAATACTGACTTTATTGGGTTATTCTGAGAGAATTAAATAATGAATATAAAACGTGCACTGTGCCTGGTACTGGGTAAGGGATCTGTAAATATTAACTACTGATTTACTACATCAGTGATTAAATATACATAGAAATTATTTTGCTGCTATATCTAAACACTAGATTTAGCAAAAACTGTCTGCAATCAGTACCAATCATAATCCCAAATGCCATAATCCTGAATGTTAAAATCCCAAAAGACTAAAGTCTAAAAATCCCTAATGTTTAAAACCACAACCCCAAAAGATTAAAATCCCAAATGATGAAATCCCAAAAGCCGAATTTTGGGGCAGGGAATTTGCATAGTTTTGGTTGTACACAATAGTTACACCATGCTAGGTGGAACTATGACCTTGCTATTGTCATTATCTGGAAATTAAGTATGGTTTAAGGAGATGCCTATGGGTACCAAGTTGCCGAGGATAGATTTGTGGACTTAATTTTAGCTATCAACTTGACAGGAACACCTAGAAACCTGGTAAAGCACTGTGTTGTGTGTGTGTCTGTGAGGATGTTTTCAGAGATTAGTGTGCGAGTCTGAGTAGGCAAGGAGAGCCCTCTATGTTGGTGGGTATCATCCAATCAGCCAGGAGCCCAGGGAGTACACAGAAGGTGAATTGCTGAGAGCTAGAACAGACTTTTCTTCTGCTGCCTTGGACATCAGAACTCCAGGCTTGCCAGCCTTTGGACTCCAGGACTTAACCAGTGGCCCCCTGAATTCTGAGGCTTTTTGACCTTGGACCGAGAGATAACACCATTAGCTTCCCTGGTTCTGAGGCCTTTGGATTTGGACTGAGGTATGCTACTGGCATCCCAGGGTCTCAAGCCTGCAGATGATCTGTCATGGGACTTCTCAGCCACCATTAATCATATGAGCCAATTCCCCTAATAAATTCCCTCATATCTATACACATATCCTATTGGTTCTGTCTCCCTAGGGAACCCTGACTAATGCAGATTTGGTGTTGGGGAAGCTGAGTATCAGTTCTTCTTACTTTATTCTTTACAGCACAATTGAAGAGATCTGTGAAACTCTTCCCTCGCAAAAAGGCTCTGATAAGTGTACACGGCTACTTAATGGCGAAAGATAAAAGTTTAAAAGCTAATTATCACTGGTGCTGCAAAAGCAGAAATTGCAACGGCCAGGCAATAATCAGGCTTTCAAATAGACAGTATATACTTACAAAATTTGTGGATCACAACCACTTTGCAAATAAAACTGGAGCAAGTGCTTTGAAGATCGCAGAAGTGAAAATACAGGCAAAAAATACAAGAAATCTCCCCTGCCAAATTATTCAATGGTGTATTATTTCTGCTCCTTCACACATAGTGCCAATTTGCTATGCTATATATTTTATCTTCACATCATTTCTAATACTGGAGATATAAATTGTGTAGAGACTTTTGGAGAGTTCTAATTAATTCTATGCATTTTTTTTTTGCAAACTGAACTCCACAGAAGTGCATTATCACAACACTGACTTCATGTGTAAGCTCTGGCTGTGTTCATCAAAACGTAGAAGCCAGGTGTGGTGGAGCACCTGTAGTCAGTCCCGGCTACTAGGGAGGCTGAGGTAGGAGGATCACTTGAGGCCAGGAGTTTGAGGCTGAAGTGCACTATGATCATGCCTGTGAATAGTCACTGCACTCCAGCATGGGCAACATAGCTAGAAGACTATGGTCTCTTTAAAAAAAGTTGAAACTGGCCAGGCACGGTGGCTCACATCTGTAATCCCAGCACTTGTGAGGCCAAGGCGGGCAGATCACCCAAGGTCAGGAGTTCGAGGCCAGCCTGGCCAATACGGTGAAATCCTGTCTCTACAAAAATTAATAATACAAAAATTAGCCAGGCGTGGTGGCGGGGCGCCTGTAATCCCAGCTACTTGGAAGGCTGAGGCAGGAAAATCGCCTGAACCCAGGAGACAAAGGTTGCAGTGAGCCGAGACCACACCATTGCACTTCAGCCTCAGCAACAACAGTGAAACTCCATCTCAAAAAAAAAAAAAAAAAAAAAAGGTGAACCTTCAATGAGATGTCCTTTTTTTATACTGTTTTTGTGAAAGATAAAATTCAACAATATCTCTGCTCTTCAGGAGACTGCACACACAGTGATGACCCATCCTTGTTTTTACTACCTCATCAAAAGACCTAGTTTGTCCATCATGGTATTTCAGAGGACCACAGTTACAAAATGTAACACCCATGCAACTACGGTTAGTATACTGAGTGATTAAACTTGCAAAATACATTTGTTACTATTTTATTGTGTAAAGTGGTGTACTAGGCTGTTCCTGCATTGCTATGAAGGAATACTTAAAAGAAAAGAGATTTAATTGGCTTACAGTTCTGCAGGCTGTACAGGAGGCATAGTGGCACCTGCTTCCAGGAAGGCCTCAGGAAGCTTCCAATCATGGCAGAAGGCAAAGGGGGAACAGGCACATCACATGATGAGGACTGAGCAAGAGAGAGTGTGAGGTGCCACACTTTTAAAACAGCCAGATCTCGCGAGAAGTCGCTCACCGTCTCGAGGACAGCATCAAGGGGATGGTACTAAACCATTCATGAAAAATCCACCCACATAATCCAATCACCTCCTACCAGCCTCCACTTCCAATATTGGGGATTACAATTCAACATGAGATTTGGGCAGGGACACATATCCAAACTATATTAAGTGGCCTATGAAGTGTTGTCATGTTTTTGTTTCTCAAATAAATCCCCTTTAAAAAAGGTAAATAAGTGGTTTTTCTGTTTGTTTATTGAAGACAAAGTCTTGCTCTGTTGCCCAGACAGCGCCATCACAGCTCACTCCAACCTCTGCCTCCCAGACCCAAGAGATCCTCCCACCTCAGTCTCCCAAGTAGCTGGACTATAGGTGCACGCTAGCTTGCTAATTTTTGTATTTTTTTGTAGAGACAGGGTTTCTCCACGTTGCCCAGGCTGATCTTGAACTCCTGGGCTCAAGCAATCTGCCCACCTTGGCTTCCCAAAATACTGAGATTACAGGTGTGAGACTCTGTACCTGGCCAAACAAGTGTCTTTTTTTTTTTTTTTTTTTTTTTTTTTTGAGACAGAATCTCACTCTGTCACCCAGGTTGGAGTACAGTGGCATGATCTCAGCTCACTGCAACCTCCGCCTCCCATGTTCAAGTGATTCTCGTGCCTCAGCATCCCGAGTAGCGGGGACTACAGGCACTTGCAACCATGCCTAGATAATTTTTATATTTTTAGTAGAGACGGGGTTTTGCCATGTTGGCCAGGCTGGTCTCAAACTCCTGAGCTCAAGTGATCTGCCCACCTAGGCCTCTCAACATGCTGGGATTACAGGAGTGAGCCACCGCACCTGGCCCAAATAAGTATTTTTTAAATAATGTTTTAAAATTATTTTTTCCAGAATTATATTGTTTGGATTTCGATATTTTGGGATTTCAGTATTTGGGATTATGGCATCAAGAACTGTGTCTTTTAGGCCAGGCGCAGTGGCTCATGCCTGTAATCCCAGCACTTCGGGAGGCTGAGGTGGGCAGATCACCTGAGGTCGGGAGTTTGAGACCAGCCTGGCCAACGTGGCAAAACCCTGCCAAGGTGGGCAGATCACCTGAGGTCAGGAGTTCAAGACCAGCCTGGGCAACATGGCGAAACTCTGTCTCTACCTGTATTTTTTTTTGTAAAAATACAAAAAAATTAGCCGGGTGTGGTGGCACGCACCTATAATCCCAGCTACTTGGGAGGCTCAGGCAGGAGAATCACTTGAACCCAAGAGACAGAGGTTGCAGTGAGCCGAGCACCACTGCACTCCAGCCTGGGCGACAGAACGAAAGTCCATCTCAAAAAAAAAAAGAAAAAAATAAAAAAAAGAACTGTCTCTTTCAGAATTATGGCCTAAACCCGTCTGAAACAACTATTCAAGAAGTCTTTGGGAGAGCTAACACCTACAAACATAAACTTCGGTAATATTTTATAAAATATTCTTAAAAATCACCTTTATCCACACACAAGACAGTTTTAAAAGCTTTGGAGACTGAGTCCAGCTCTGTCGCCAGGCTGGAGTGCAGTGGCACATCTCGACTCACTGCAACCTCCACCTCCCAGGTTTAAGCGATTCTCCCGCCTCAGCCTCCCAAGTAGCTGGGATTACAGGCACGCACCACCATGCCCAGCTAATTTTTGTATTTTTAGTAGAGACGGGGCTTCACCTTGTTGGCCAGGATGGTCTTAATTTCCTGACCTCATGATCCGCTGCTCACCTCGGCCTCCCAAAATGTTGGGATTACAGGTGTGAGCCACGGTGCCCAGCCTTTAAAAGCTTTTTTAACTGAAACACTAGAGTAACAATCTTGGCATTTTTAAACGTATATAATTATCCCTATATATAAAACTATTTTAACAAAAATAACTATTTTCATACAACCATTTTAACTCTAGAATAAAAATACTGTTATAGTGAGATTTTTTCAAATATTTAATTTAGTAGAGTCAAATGTTTAACAAAAATAAAATATTATGAAGTATATAGTATATATTTTAATAAAAGGCTAATAAACTGAATCAGGTCAATAAGAGAAGCAAAATACTGGTTTATAAAACTAAGGCCTTCAAGTGACAGGGGGCCATAGGAAAAAAACAACAAAACAAAAACTAAGGCTTTATTCATTTATAAGTGGCAAAAGAAAAAATTTCCTATTTCCCTATTCCCTAATGATTTAATGTAAACTAAAGCAAAGAGAATGCATTAGTTCACTCTTCCTTAGAAACCTACACCATCTACTAATTTGCTAATGAAATCAGATACATGAGTTCTACATGATCAGTGTTGTGACTTCACATTAGTAGAGACGCTACTTGAGTTGCACTGTCACTGGGTTCCAGAAAGAGAATTTCCTAACGAATCACTAAGAAAGCTTCTTCAACAGATACAGGACGGGCTAGTATCAAAATATAGAAAAAAAAATAAAGTAGAGATAATGCTTTGTCTGTTGAAAAATATTTATTAAACTTCTCTAAAAGGGATTACATAAATATATTATCTCAACTACTATAATTAGATGTCAATTCCAATTCCTTAGTAATATTTTCAAGATTTACCCCTTAAATATAGGCGTATGAAAAACCAAAAGCATCAACAAAAGTTTTATTTATATAAAAAGATTTATGCTGGAATGTTAAAATCTAATATTTTGATTTTGAAAGCAAGTTGATTTTTTAAAAACCCTGAAAACAGTAGAGTGAACTGGCATTCCTTGAAAAGCTGAACAAAATAAGTTTAGTAAAAACAAGTAATAAATTTATTAATTCAGAAAGGATC